>NC_000023.11:60380602-60550108 GCF_000001405.40 Homo sapiens | reverse complement strand
GTAGCACTCTCAGAAAATTCTTTGTGACGATGGAGTTTAACTCAGGGAGCTGAACATTCGTTATGATGGAGCAGTTTCCAAACACACGTTTTGTAGAAAACATCATCTCTACTAAAAATACAAAAATTAGTTGGGCATGATGGTGGGCACCTGTAATCCTAGCTACTCAGAAGGCTGAGGAGGGAGAAAGAATGGCTTGGACCTGGGAGGCAGAGGTTCCAATAAGCTGAGATCTCAGCACTGCACTCCAGCCCTGGCAACAGAGCAAGACTCCGTCTCAAAAAAAAAAAAGAAAAGAAAACCGTCTGGTTTTTATATGAAGTTCTTTCCTTCACTACCACAGGCCTCAAAGCGGTCCAAATCTCCACTTGCAGATTCTACAAAAAGAGTGTTTGCAAACTGCTCTATCAAAAGGAATGTTCAACTCTGGGAGTTGAATGCAATCATCACAGAGCAGTTTCTGAGAATGCTTCTATGTCGTTTTTAGGAGAAGATATTTCCTTTTCCAACACAGTCCTCCAAGCCCGCTAAATAGCCACTTGCACATTGTAGAAAAAGTGTGTCAAAGCTGCGCTATCAAAGGGAAAGTTCAACTCTGTGAGGTGAATGCAAACATCCCAAAGAAGTTTCTGAGAATGCTTCCGTTTAGCTTTTAGGTGAAGATTATCCCGTTTCCAACGAAACCTTCAAAGAGGTCCAAATATCCCCTTGCGGATCCCACAGAAAGAGTGTTTCGAAACTGCTGTTTCAAAAGGAATCTTCAACTCTGTGAGTTGAATGCAATCATCACAAAGAAGTTTCTGACAATGCTTCTCTCTCGTCTTTCTGTGAAGATAAAGGAAAAGGCTTTCAGGCCTTTTCCACCACAGGCCTGAAAGCGCTCCAAATGTCCACTTGCAGATTCTGCCAAAAGAATATTTCAAAACTGCTCTATGAAAAGCAATGTTAAACTCTGTGGCTCGAACACAAACATCACAAAGCGGTTTCTGAGAATGCTTCAGTTTAGTTTTTCTGTGGAAATATTCCCGTTTCCAAAGAAATCTTCAAAGAGGTCCACTTATCCACTTACAGATTCTACAAAAAGACAGTTTCAAAACTGCTCCATCAAAAGGAGGGTTCAACTGTGTGACTTGAATGCAATCATCACTCACAAGTTTCTGAGAATGCTTCTCTTTAGTTTTTACGTGAACATATACCCGTTTCGAACGAAGGCCACCCAGTGGTCCAAATATCCACTTGCAGATTCTACAGAAAGAGTGTTTCGAACCTGAACTCTCAAAGGCAGGTTCATCTCTGCGAGTTAAATGCATTCATCATGAAGAACTTTCTCAGAGTGTTTGTGTTTAGTTATGGGAAATTATTCCCGTTTCCAACGAAATCCTCAGAGAGGTCCAAATATCCACCTGCAGATTCTACCAAAAGTGTATTTGGAAACTGCTCCATCAAAAGGCATGTTCAGCTCTGTGAGTGAAACTCCATCATCACAAAGAATATTCTGAGAATGCTTCCGTTTGCCTTTTATATGAAGTTCCTTCCTATACGACCGTAGGCCTCAAAGCAGTCCAAATCTCCATTTGCAGATTCTACAAAAAGAGTGATTCCAATCTGCTCTATCAATAGGATTGTTCAACTCCATGAGTTGAATGCCATCCTCACAAAGTAGTTTCTGAGAATGCTTCTATCTAGTTTTTATGTGAAGATATTTCCTTTTCCACCACAGGCCTCAAAGCCCTCCAAACGTCCACTTGCAGATTCTCGAAAAAGAGTGTTTCATAGCTGCTCTTTCAAAAGGAAAGTTCAACTCTGGGAGTTGAATACAAACATCACAAAGTAGTTTCCGAGAATGCTTCTGTTTAGTTTTTATGTGAAGATGACCCCGTTTCCAGTGAAATCATCAAAGAGGTCCACATATCCCCTTGCAGATTCCAAAGAAAGAGGGTTTCAAAACTGCTCCATCAGAAGGATTGTTCAACTCTGTGAGTTGAATGCAGTCATCGCAGAAAACTTTCTGAGAATGCTTCTTTCTAGGTTTGATGTGAAGATATAGACGTTTCAAACGAAGGCTACAAAGTGGTCAAAATATACACTTGCAGATTCTACTACAAGGGTGTTGCAAACCTGAACTATCAAAGGAAGGTTCAACTCTGTGAGTTGAATACAAACATCACAAAGAATGTTCTGAGTTTGCTTCCGTTCAGTTATGGGAAGTTGATCCCGTTTCCAAAGAAATCCTCAGAGAGGTCCAAATATCCCCTCGCAGATTCTACAAAACGTGTGTTTGGAAACTGCTCCATCATAACGAATGTTCAGCTCCCTGAGTTAAACTCCATCGTCACAAAGAATTTTCTGAGAGTGCTACCGTCTGGTTTTTATATGAAGTTCTTTCCTTCACTACCACAGGCCTCAAAGCGGTCCAAATCTCCACTTGCAGATTCTACAAAAAGAGTGTTTGCAAACTGCTCTATCAAAAGGAATGTTCAACTCTGGGAGTTGAATGCAATCATCACAGAGCAGTTTCTGAGAATGCTTCTATGTCGTTTTTAGGAGAAGATATTTCCTTTTCCAACACAGTCCTCCAAGCCCGCTAAATAGCCACTTGCACATTGTAGAAAAAGTGTGTCGAAGCTGCGCTATCAAAGGGAAAGTTCAACTCTGTGAGGTGAATGCAAACATCCCAAAGAAGTTTCTGAGAATGCTTCCGTTTAGCTTTTAGGTGAAGATTATCCCGTTTCCAACGAAACCTTCAAAGAGGTCCAAATATCCCCTTGCGGATCCCACAGAAAGAGTGTTTCGAAACTGCTGTTTCAAAAGGAATCTTCAACTCTGTGAGTTGAATGCAATCATCACAAAGAAGTTTCTGACAATGCTTCTCTCTCGTCTTTCTGTGAAGATAAAGGAAAAGGCTTTCAGGCCTTTTCCACCACAGGCCTGAAAGCGCTCCAAATGTCCACTTGCAGATTCTGCTAAAAGAATATTTCAAAACTGCTCTATGAAAAGCAATGTTAAACTCTGTGGCTCGAACACAAACATCACAAAGCAGTTTCTGAGAATGCTTCAGTTTAGTTTTTCTGTGGAAATATTCCCGTTTCCAAAGAAATCTTCAAAGAGGTCCACGTATCCACTTACAGATTCTACAAAAAGACAGTTTCAAAACTGCTCCATCAAAAGGAGGGTTCAACTGTGTGACTTGAATGCAATCATCACTCAGAAGTTTCTGAGAATGCTTCTCTTTAGTTTTTAGGTGAACATATACCCGTTTCGAACGAAGGCCACCCAGTGGTCCAAATATCCACTTGCAGATTCTACAGAAAGAGTGTTTCGAACCTGAACTCTCAAAGGCAGGTTCATCTCTGCGAGTTAAATGCATTCATCATGAAGAACTTTCTCAGAGTGTTTTTGTGTTTAGTTATGGGAAATTATTAACGTTTCCAACGAAATCCTCAGAGAGCTCCAAATATCCACCTGCAGATTCTACCAAAAGTGTATTTGGAAACTGCTCCATCAAAAGGCATGTTCAGCTCTGTGAGTGAAACTCCATCATCACAAAGAATATTCTGAGAATGCTTCCGTTTGCCTTTTATCTGAAGTTCCTTCCTATACGACCGTAGGCCTCAAAGCAGTCCAAATCTCCATTTGCAGATTCTACAAAAAGAGTGATTCCAATCTGCTCTATCAATAGGATTGTTCAACTCCATGAGTTGAATGCCATCCTCACAAAGTCGTTTCTGAGAATGCTTCTATCTAGTTTTTATGTGAAGATATTTCCTTTTCCACCACAGGCCTCAAAGCCTTCCAAACGTCCACTTGCAGATTCTCGAAAAAGAGTGTTTCATAGCTGCTCTTTCAAAAGGAAAGTTCAACTCTGGGAGTTGAATACAAACATCACAAAGTAGTTTCCGAGAATGCTTCTGTTTAGTTTTTATGTGAAGATGATCCCGTTTCCAGTGAAATCTTCAAAGAGGTCCACATATCCCCTTGCAGATTCCAAAGAAAGAGGGTTTAAAAACTGCTCCATCAGAAGGATTGTTCAACTCTGTGAGTTGAATGCAGTCATCGCAGAAAACTTTCTGAGAATGCTTCCGTTCAGTTATGGGAAGTTGATCCCGTTTCCAACGAAATCCTCAGAGAGGTCCAAATATCCCCTCGCAGATTCTACAAAACGTGTGTTTGGAAACTGCTCCATCATAACGAATGTTCAGCTCCCTGAGTTAAACTCCATCGTCACAAAGAATTTTCTGAGAGTGCTACCGTCTGGTTTTTATATGAAGTTCTTTCCTTCACTACCACAGGCCTCAAAGCGGTCCAAATCTCCACTTGCAGATTCTACAAAAAGAGTGTTTGCAAACTGCTCTATCAAAAGGAATGTTCAACTCTGGGAGTTGAATGCAATCATCACAGAGCAGTTTCTGAGAATGCTTCTATGTCGTTTTTAGGAGAAGATATTTCCTTTTCCAACACAGTCCTCCAAGCCCGCTAAATAGCCACTTGCACATTGTAGAAAAAGTGTGTCAAAGCTGCGCTATCAAAGGGAAAGTTCAACTCTGTGAGGTGAATGCAAACATCCCAAAGAAGTTTCTGAGAATGCTTCCGTTTAGCTTTTAGGTGAAGATTATCCCGTTTGCAACGAAATCTTCAAAGAGGTCCAAATATCCCCTTGCGGATCCCACAGAAAGAGTGTTTCGAAACTGCTGTTTCAAAAGGAATCTTCAACTCTGTGAGTTGAATGCAATCATCACAAACAAGTTTCTGACAATGCTTCTCTCTCGTCTTTCTGTGAAGATAAAGGAAAAGGCTTTCAGGCCTTTTCCACCACAGGCCTGAAAGCGCTCCAAATGTCCACTTGCAGATTCTGCCAAAAGAATATTTGAAAACTGCTCTATGAAAAGCAATGTTAAACTCTGTGGCTCGAACACAAACATCACAAAGCAGTTTCTGAGAATGCTTCAGTTTAGTTTTTCTGTGGAAATATTCCCGTTTCCAAAGAAATCTTCAAAGAGGTCCACGTATCCACTTACAGATTCTACAAAAAGACAGTTTCAAAACTGCTCAATCAAAAGGAGGGTTCAACTGTGTGACTTGAATGCAATCATCACTCAGAAGTTTCTGAGAACGCTTCTCTTTAGTTTTTACGTGAACATATACCCGTTTCGAACGAAGGCCAGCCAGTGGTCCAAATATCCACTTGCAGATTCTACAGAAAGAGTGTTTCGAACCTGAACTCTCAAAGGCAGGTTCATCTCTGCGAGTTCAATGCATTCATCATGAAGAACGTTCTCAGCGTGTTTGTGTTTAGTTATGGGAAATTATTCCCGTTTCCAACGAAATCCTCAGAGAGCTCCAAATATCCACCTGCAGATTCTACCAAAAGTGTATTTGGAAACTGCTCCATCAAGAGGCATGTTCAGCTCTGTGAGTGAAACTCCATCATCACAAAGAATATTCTGAGAATGCTTCCGTTTGCCTTTTATATGAAGTTCCTTCCTATACGACCTTAGGCCTCAAAGCAGTCCAAATCTCCATTTGCAGATTCTACAAAAAGAGTGATTCCAATCTGCTCTATCAATAGGATTGTTCAACTCCATGAGTTGAATGCCATCCTCACAAAGTCGTTTCTGAGAATGCTTCTATCTAGTTTTTATGTGAAGATATTTCCTTTTCCACCACAGGCCTCAAAGCCCTCCAAACGTCCACTTGCAGATTCTCGAAAAAGAGTGTTTCATAGCTGCTCTTTCAAAAGGAAAGTTCAACTCTGGGAGTTGAATACAAACATCACAAAGTAGTTTCTGAGAATGCTTCTGTTTAGTTTTTATGTGAAGATGATCCCGTTTCCAGTGAAATCTTCAAAGAGGTCCACATATCCCCTTGCAGATTCCAAAGAAAGAGGGTTTCAAAACTGCTCCATCAGAAGGATTGTTCAACTCTGTGAGTTGAATGCAGTCATCGCAGAAAACTTTCTGAGAATGCTTCTGTCTAGGTTTGATGTGAAGATATAGACGTTTCAAACGAAGGCTACAAAGTGGTCAAAATATACACTTGCAGATTCTACTACAAGGGTGTTGCAAACCTGAACTATCAAAGGAAGGTTCAACTCTGTGAGTTGAATACAAACATCACAAAGAATGTTCTGAGTTTGCTTCCGTTCAGTTATGGGAAGTTGATCCCGTTTCCAAAGAAATCCTCAGAGAGGTCCAAATATCCCCTTGCAGATTCTACAAAACGTGTGTTTGGAAACTGCTCCATCATAACGAATGTTCAGCTCCCTGAGTTAAACTCCATCGTCACAAAGAATTTTCTGAGAGTGCTACCGTCTGGTTTTTATATGAAGTTCTTTCCTTCACTACCACAGGCCTCAAAGCGGTCCAAATCTCCACTTGCAGATTCTACAAAAAGAGTGTTTGCAAACTGCTCTATCAAAAGGAATGTTCAACTCTGGGAGTTGAATGCAATCATCACAGAGCAGTTTCTGAGAATGCTTCTATGTCGTTTTTAGGAGAAGATATTTCCTTTTCCAACACAGTCCTCCAAGCCCGCTAAATAGCCACTTGCACATTGTAGAAAAAGTGTGTCAAAGCTGCGCTATCAAAGGGAAAGTTCAACTCTGTGAGGTGAATGCAAACATCCCAAAGAAGTTTCTGAGAATGCTTCCGTTTAGCTTTTAGGTGAAGATTATCCCGTTTCCAACGAAACCTTCAAAGAGGTCCAAATATCCCCTTGCGGATCCCACAGAAAGAGTGTTTCGAAACTGCTGTTTCAAAAGGAATCCTCAACTCTGTGAGTTGAATGCAATCATCACAAAGAAGTTTCTGACAATGCTTCTCTCTCGTCTTTCTGTGAAGATAAAGGAAAAGGCTTTCAGGCCTTTGCCACCACAGGCCTGAAAGCGCTCCAAATGTCCACTTGCAGATTCTGCCAAAAGAATATTTCAAAACTGCTCTATGAAAAGCAATGTTAAACTCTGCGGCTCGAACACAAACATCACAAAGCGGTTTCTGAGAATGCTTCAGTTTAGTTTTTCTGTGGAAATATTCCCGTTTCCAAAGAAATCTTCAAAGAGGTCCACGTATCCACTTACAGATTCTACAAAAAGACAGTTTCAAAACTGCTCCATCAAAAGGAGGGTTCAACTGTGTGACTTGAATGCAATCATCACTCAGAAGTTTCTGAGAATGCTTCTCTTTAGTTTTTACGTGAACATATACCCGTTTCGAACGAAGGCCACCCAGTGGTCCAAATATCCACTTGCAGATTCTACAGAAAGAGTGTTTCGAAACTGAACTCTCAAAGGCAGGTTCATCTCTGCGAGTTAAATGCATTCATCATGAAGAACTTTCTCAGCGTGTTTGTGTTTAGTTATGGGAAATTATTCCCGTTTCCAACGAAATCCTCAAAGAGCTCCAAATATCCACCTGCAGATTCTACCAAAAGTGTATTTGGAAACTGCTCCATCAAAAGGCATGTTCAGCTCTGTCAGTGAAACTCCATCATCACAAAGAATATTCTGAGAATGCTTCCGTTTGCCTTTTATATGAAGTTCCTTCCTGTACTACCGTAGGCCTCAAAGCAGTCCAAATCTCCATTTGCACATTCTACAAAAAGAGTGATTCCAATCTGCTGTATCAATAGGATTGTTCAACTCCATGAGTTGAATGCCATCCTCACAAAGTCGCTTCTGAGAATGCTTCTATCTAGTTTTTATGTGAAGATATTTCCTTTTCCACCACAGGCCTCAAAGCCCTCCAAACGTCCACTTGCAGATTCTCGAAAAAGAGTGTTTCATAGCTGCTCTTTCAAAAGGAAAGTTCAACTCTGGGAGTTGAATACAAACATCACAAAATAGTTTCCGAGAATGCTTCTGTTTAGTTTTTATGTGAAGATGATCCCGTTTCCAGTGAAATCTTCAAAGAGGTCCACATATCCCCTTGCAGATTCCAAAGAAAGAGGGTTTAAAAACTGCTCCATCAGAAGGATTGTTCAACTCTGTGAGTTGAATGCAGTCATCGCAGAAAACTTTCTGAGAATGCTTCTGTCTAGGTTTGATGTGAAGATATAGATGTTTCAAACGAAGGCTACAAAGTGGTCAAAATATACACTTGCAGATTCTACTACAAGGGTGTTGCAAACCTGAACTATCAAAGGAAGGTTCAACTCTGTGAGTTGAATACAAACATCACAAAGAATGTTCTGAGTTTGCTTCCGTTCAGTTATGGGAAGTTGATCCCGTTTCCAACGAAATCCTCAGAGAGGTCCAAATATCCCCTTGCAGATTCTACAAAACGTGTGTTTGGAAACTGCTCCATCATAACGAATGTTCAGCTCCCTGAGTTAAACTCCATCGTCACAAAGAATTTTCTGAGAGTGCTACCGTCTGGTTTTTATATGAAGTTCTTTCCTTCACTACCACAGGCCTCAAAGCGGTCCAAATCTCCACTTGCAGATTCTACAAAAAGAGTGTTTGCAAACTGCTCTATCAAAAGGAATGTTCAACTCTGGGAGTTGAATGCAATCATCACAGAGCAGTTTCTGAGAATGCTTCTATGTCGTTTTTAGGAGAAGATATTTCCTTTTCCAACACAATCCTCCAAGCCCGCTAAATAGCCACTTGCACATTGTAGAAAAAGTGTGTCAAAGCTGCGCTATCAAAGGGAAAGTTCAACTCTGTGAGGTGAATGCAAACATCCCAAAGAAGTTTCTGAGAATGCTTCCGTTTAGCTTTTAGGTGAAGATTATCCCGTTTCCAACGAAACCTTCAAAGAGGTCCAAATATCCCCTTGCGGATCCCACAGAAAGAGTGTTTCGAAACTGCTGTTTCAAAAGGAATCTTCAACTCTGTGAGTTGAATGCAATCATCACAAAGAAGTTTCTGACAATGCTTCTCTCTCGTCTTTCTGTGAAGATAAAGGAAAAGGCTTTCAGGCCTTTGCCACCACAGGCCTGAAAGCGCTCCAAATGTCCACTTGCAGATTCTGCCAAAAGAATATTTCAAAACTGCTCTATGAAAAGCAATGTTAAACTCTGTGGCTGGAACACAAACATCACAAAGCGGTTTCTGAGAATGTTTCAGTTTAGTTTTTCTGTGGAAATATTCCCGTTTCCAAAGAAATCTTCAAAGAGGTCCACGTATCCACTTACAGATTCTACAAAAAGACAGTTTCAAAACTGCTCCATCAAAAGGAGGGTTCAACTGTGTGACTTGAATGCAATCATCACTCAGAAGTTTCTGAGAATGCTTCTCTTTAGTTTTTACGTGAACATATACCCGTTTCGAACGAAGGCCACCCAGTGGTCCAAATATCCACTTGCAGATTCTACAGAAAGAGTGTTTCGAACCTGAACTCTCAAAGGCAGGTTCATCTCTGCGAGTTAAATGCATTCATCATGAAGAACTTTCTCAGAGTGTTTGTGTTTAGTTATGGGAAATTATTCCCGTTTCCAAAGAAATCCTCAGAGAGCTCCAAATATCCACCTGCAGATTCTACCAAAAGTGTATTTGGAAACTGCTCCATCAAAAGGCATGTTCAGCTCTGTGAGTGAAACTCCATCATCACAAAGAATATTCTGAGAATGCTTCCGTTTGCCTTTTATATGAAGTTCCTTCCTATACGACCGTAGGCCTCAAAGCAGTCCAAATCTCCATTTGCAGATTCTACAAAAAGAGTGATTCCAATCTGCTCTATCAATAGGATTGTTCAACTCCATGAGTTGAATGCCATCCTCACCAAGTCGTTTCTGAGAATGCTTCTATCTGGTTTTTGTGTGAAGATATTTCCTTTTCCACCACAGGCCTCAAAGCCCTCCAAACGTCCACTTGCAGATTCTCGAAAAAGAGTGTTTCATAGCTGCTCTTTCAAAAGGAAAGTTCAACTCTGGGAGTTGAATACAAACATCACAAAATAGCTTCCGAGATTGCTTCTGTTTAGTTTTTATGTGAAGATGATCCCGTTTCCAGTGAAATCTTCAAAGAGGTCCACATATCCCCTTGCAGATTCCAAAGAAAGAGGGTTTCAAAACTGCTCCATCAAAAGGATTGTTCAACTCTGTGAGTTGAATGCAGTCATCGCAGAAAACTTTCTGAGAATGCTTCTTTCTAGGTTTGATGTGAAGATATAGACGTTTCAAACGAAGGCTACAAAGTGGTCAAAATATACACTTGCAGATTCTACTACAAGGGTGTTGCAAACCTGAACTATCAAAGGAAGGTTCAACTCTGTGAGTTGAATACAAACATCACAAAGAATGTTCTGAGTTTGCTTCCGTTCAGTTATGGGAAGTTGATCCCGTTTCCAACGAAATCCTCAGAGAGGTCCAAATATCCCCTTGCAGATTCTACAAAACGTGTGTTTGGAAACTGCTCCATCATAACGAATGTTCAGCTCCCTGAGTTAAACTCCATCGTCACAAAGAATTTTCTGAGAGTGCTACCGTCTGGTTTTTATATGAAGTTCTTTCCTTCACTACCACAGGCCTCAAAGCGGTCCAAATCTCCACTTGCAGATTCTACAAAAAGAGTGTTTGCAAACTGCTCTATCAAAAGGAATGTTCAACTCTGGGAGTTGAATGCAATCATCACAGAGCAGTTTCTGAGAATGCTTCTATGTCGTTTTTAGGAGAAGATATTTCCTTTTCCAACACAGTCCTCCAAGCCCGCTAAATAGCCACTTGCACATTGTAGAAAAAGTGTGTCAAAGCTGCGCTATCAAAGGGAAAGTTCAACTCTGTGAGGTGAATGCAAACATCCCAAAGAAGTTTCTGAGAATGCTTCCGTTTAGCTTTTAGGTGAAGATTATCCCGTTTCCAACGAAACCTTCAAAGAGGTCCAAATATCCCCTTGCGGATCCCACAGAAAGAGTGTTTCGAAACTGCTGTTTCAAAAGGAATCTTCAACTCTGTGAGTTGAATGCAATCATCACAAAGAAGTTTCTGACAATGCTTCTCTCTCGTCTTTCTGTGAAGATAAAGGAAAAGGCTTTCAGGCCTTTTCCACCACAGGCCTGAAAGCGCTCCAAATGTCCACTTGCAGATTCTGCCAAAAGAATATTTCAAAACTGCTCTATGAAAAGCAATGTTAAACTCTGTCGCTCGAACACAAACATCACAAAGCAGTTTCTGAGAATGCTTCAGTTTAGTTTTTCTGTGGAAATATTCCCGTTTCCAAAGAAATCTTCAAAGAGGTCCACGTATCCACTTACAGATTCTACAAAAAGACAGTTTCAAAACTGCTCCATCAAAAGGAGGGTTCAACTGTGTGACTTGAATGCAATCATCACTCAGAAGTTTCTGAGAATGCTTCTCTTTAGTTTTTACGTGAACATATACCCGTTTCGAACGAAGGCCAGCCAGTGGTCCAAATATCCACTTGCAGATTCTACAGAAAGAGTGTTTCGAACCTGAACTCTCAAAGGCAGGTTCATCTCTGCGAGTTAAATGCATTCATCATGAAGAACTTTCTCAGAGTGTTTGTGTTTAGTTATGGGAAATTATTCCCGTTTCCAACGAAATCCTCAGAGAGCTCCAAATATCCACCTGCAGATTCTACCAAAAGTGTATTTGGAAACTGCTCCATCAAAAGGCATGTTCAGCTCTGTGAGTGAAACTCCATCATCACAAAGGATATTCTGAGAATGCTTCCGTTTGCCTTTTATATGAAGTTCCTTCCTATACTACCGTAGGCCTCAAAGCAGTCCAAATCTCCATTTGCAGATTCTACAAAAAGAGTGATTCCAATCTGCTCTATCAATAGGATTGTTCAACTCCATGAGTTGAATTCCATCCTCACAATGTCGTTTGTGAGAATGCTTCTATCTAGTTTTTATGTGAAGATATTTCCTTTTCCACCACAGGCCTCAAAGCCCTCCAAACGTCCACTTGCAGATTCTCGAAAAAGAGTGTTTCATAGCTGCTCTTTCAAAAGGAAAGTTCAACTCTGGGAGTTGAATACAAACATCCCAAAGTAGTTTCCGAGAATGCTTATATTTAGTTTTTATGTGAAGATGATCCCGTTTCCAGTGAAATCTTCAAAGAGGTCCACATATCCCCTTGCAGATTCCAAAGAAAGAGGGTTTCAAAACTGCTCCATCAGAAGGATTGTTCAACTCTGTGAGTTGAATGCAGTCATCGCAGAAAACTTTCTAAGAATGCTTCTGTCTAGGTTTGATGTGAAGATATAGACGTTTCAAACGAAGGCTACAAAGTGGTCAAAATATACACTTGCAGATTCTACTACAAGGGTGTTGCAAACCTGAACTATCAAAGGAAGGTTCAACTCTGTGAGTTGAATACAAACATCACAAAGAATGTTCTGAGTTTGCTTCCGTTCAGTTATGGGAAGTTGATCCCGTTTCCAACGAAATCCTCAGAGAGGTCCAAATATCCCCTTGCAGATTCTACAAAACGTGTGTTTGGAAACTGCTCCATCATAACGAATGTTCAGCTCCCTGAGTTAAACTCCATCGTCACAAAGAATTTTCTGAGAGTGCTACCGTCTGGTTTTTATATGAAGTTCTTTCCTTCACTACCACAGGCCTCAAAGCGGTCCAAATCTCCACTTGCAGATTCTACAAAAAGAGAGTTTGCAAACTGCTCTATCAAAAGGAATGTTCAACTCTGGGAGTTGAATGCAATCATCACAGAGCAGTTTCTGAGAATGCTTCTATGTCGTTTTTAGGAGAAGATATTTCCTTTTCCAACACAGTCCTCCAAGCCCGCTAAATAGCCACTTGCACATTGTAGAAAAAGTGTGTCAAAGCTGCGCTATCAAAGGGAAAGTTCAACTCTGTGAGGTGAATGCAAACATCCCAAAGAAGTTTCTGAGAATGCTTCCGTTTAGCTTTTAGGTGAAGATTATCCCGTTTCCAACGAAACCTTCAAAGAGGTCCAAATATCCCCTTGCGGATCCCACAGAAAGAGTGTTTCGAAACTGCTGTTTCAAAAGGAATCTTCAACTCTGTGAGTTGAATGCAATCATCACAAAGAAGTTTCTGACAATGCTTCTCTCTCGTCTTTCTGTGAAGATAAAGGAAAAGGCTTTCAGGCCTTTGCCACCACAGGCCTGAAAGCGGTCCAAATGTCCACTTGCAGATTCTGCGAAAAGAATATTTCAAAACTGCTCTATGAAAAGCAATGTTAAACTCTGCGGCTCGAACACAAACATCACAAAGCGGTTTCTGAGAATGCTTCAGTTTAGTTTTTCTGTGGAAATATTCCCGTTTCCAAAGAAATCTTCAAAGAGGTCCACGTATCCACTTACAGATTCTACAAAAAGACAGTTTCAAAACTGCTCCATCAAAAGGAGGGTTCAACTGTGTGACTTGAATGCAATCATCACTCAGAAGTTTCTGAGAATGCTTCTCTTTAGTTTTTACGTGAACATATACCCGTTTCGAACGAAGGCCACCCAGTGGTCCAAATATCCACTTGCAGATTCTACAGAAAGAGTGTTTCGAACCTGAACTCTCAAAGGCAGGTTCATCTCTGCGAGTTAAATGCATTCATCATGAAGAACTTTCTCAGCGTGTTTGTGTTTAGTTATGGGAAATTATTCCCGTTTCCAACGAAATCCTCAAAGAGCTCCAAATATCCACCTGCAGATTCTACCAAAAGTGTATTTGGAAACTGCTCCATCAAAAGGCATGTTCAGCTCTGTGAGTGAAACTCCATCATCACAAAGAATATTCTGAGAATGCTTCCGTTTGCCTTTTATATGAAGTTCCTTCCTATACGACCGTAGGCCTCAAAGCAGTCCAAATCTCAATTTGCAGATTCTACAAAAAGAGTGATTCCAATCTGCTCTATCAATAGGATTGTTCAACTCCATGAGTTGAATGCCATCCTCACAAAGTAGTTTCTGAGAATGCTTCTATCTGGTTTTTGTGTGAAGATATTTCCTTTTCCACCACAGGCCTCAAAGCCCTCCAAACGTCCACTTGCAGATTCTCGAAAAAGAGTGTTTCATAGCTGCTCTTTCAAAAGGAAAGTTCAACTCTGGGAGTTGAATACAAACATCACAAAGTAGTTTCCGAGAATGCTTATATTTAGTTTTTATGTGAAGATGATCCCGTTTCCAGTGAAATCTTCAAAGAGGTCCACATATCCCCTTGCAGATTCCAAAGAAAGAGGGTTTCAAAACTGCTCCATCAGAAGGATTGTTCAACTCTGTGAGTTGAATGCAGTCATCGCAGAAAACTTTCTAAGAATGCTTCTTTCTAGGTTTGATGTGAAGATATAGACGTTTCAAACGAAGGCTACAAAGTGGTCAAAATATACACTTGCAGATTCTACTACAAGGGTGTTGCAAACCTGAACTATCAAAGGAAGGTTCAACTCTGTGAGTTGAATACAAACATCACAAAGAATGTTCTGAGTTTGCTTCCGTTCAGTTATGGGAAGTTGATCCCGTTTCCAGCGAAATCCTCAGAGAGGTCCAAATATCCCCTTGCAGATTCTACAAAACGTGTGTTTGGAAACTGCTCCATCATAACGAATGTTCAGCTCCCTGAGTTAAACTCCATCGTCACAAAGAATTTTCTGAGAGTGCTACCGTCTGGTTTTTATATGAAGTTCTTTCCTTCACTACCACAGGCCTCAAAGCGGTCCAAATCTCCACTTGCAGATTCTACAAAAAGAGTGTTTGCAAACTGCTCTATCAAAAGGAATGTTCAACTCTGGGAGTTGAATGCAATCATCACAGAGCAGTTTCTGAGAATGCTTCTATGTCGTTTTTAGGAGAAGATATTTCCTTTTCCAACACAATCCTCCAAGCCCGCTAAATAGCCACTTGCACATTGTAGAAAAAGTGTGTCAAAGCTGCGCTATCAAAGGGAAAGTTCAACTCTGTGAGGTGAATGCAAACATCCCAAAGAAGTTTCTGAGAATGCTTCCGTTTAGCTTTTAGGTGAAGATTATCCCGTTTCCAACGAAACCTTCAAAGAGGTCCAAATATCCCCTTGCGGATCCCACAGAAAGAGTGTTTCGAAACTGCTGTTTCAAAAGGAATCTTCAACTCTGTGAGTTGAATGCAATCATCACAAAGAAGTTTCTGACAATGCTTCTCTCTCTCGTCTTTCTGTGAACATAAAGGAAAAGGCTTTCAGGCCTTTTCCACCACAGGCCTGAAAGCGCTCCAAATGTCCACTTGCAGATTCTGCCAAAAGAATATTTCAAAACTGCTCTATGAAAAGCAATGTTAAACTCTGTGGCTCGAACACAAACATCACAAAGCAGTTTCTGAGAATGCTTCAGTTTAGTTTTTCTGTGGAAATATTCCCGTTTCCAAAGAAATCTTCAAAGAGGTCCACGTATCCACTTACAGATTCTACAAAAAGACAGTTTCAAAACTGCTCCATCAAAAGGAGGGTTCAACTGTGTGACTTGAATGCAATCATCACTCAGAAGTTTCTGAGAATGCTTCTCTTTAGTTTTTACGTGAACATATACCCGTTTCGAACGAAGGCCACCCAGTGGTCCAAATATCCACTTGCAGATTATACAGAAAGAGTGTTTCGAACCTGAACTCTCAAAGGCAGGTTCATCTCTGCGAGTTAAATGCATTCATCATGAAGAACTTTCTCAGAGTGTTTGTGTTTAGTTATGTGAAATTATTCCCGTTTCCAACGAAATCCTCAGAGTGGTCCAAATATCCACCTGCAGATTCTACCAAAAGTGTATTTGGAAACTGCTCCATCAAAAGGCATGTTCAGCTCTGTCAGTGAAACTCCATCATCACAAAGAATATTCTGAGAATGCTTCCGTTTGCCTTTTATCTGAAGTTCCTTCCTATACGACCGTAGGCCTCAAAGCAGTCCAAATCTCCATTTGCAGATTCTACAAAAAGAGTGATTCCAATCTGCTCTATCAATAGGATTGTTCAACTCCATGAGTTGAATGCCATCCTCACAAAGTCGTTTCTGAGAATGCTTCTATCTAGTTTTTATGTGAAGATATTTCCTTTTCCACCACAGGCCTCAAAGCCCTCCAAACGTCCACTTGCAGATTCTCGAAAAAGAGTGTTTTATAGCTGCTCTTTCAAAAGGAAAGTTCAACTCTGGGAGTTGAATACAAACATCACAAAGTAGTTTCCGAGAATGCTTCTGTTTAGTTTTTATGTGAAGATGATCCCGTTTCCAGTGAAATCTTCAAAGAGGTCCACATATCCCCTTGCAGATTCCAAAGAAAGAGGGTTTCAAAACTGCTCCATCAGAAGGATTGTTCAACTCTGTGAGTTGAATGCAGTCATCGCAGAAAACTTTCTGAGAATGCTTCTGTCTAGGTTTGATGTGAAGATATAGATGTTTCAAACGAAGGCTACAAAGTGGTCAAAATATACACTTGCAGATTCTACTACAAGGGTGTTGCAAACCTGAACTATCAAAGGAAGGTTCAACTCTGTGAGTTGAATACAAACATCACAAAGAATGTTCTGAGTTTGCTTCCGTTCAGTTATGGGAAGTTGATCCCGTTTCCAACGAAATCCTCAGAGAGGTCCAAATATCCCCTTGCAGATTCTACAAAACGTGTGTTTGGAAACTGCTCCATCGTAACGAATGTTCAGCTCCCTGAGTTAAACTCCATCGTCACAAAGAATTTTCTGAGAGTGCTACCGTCTGGTTTTTATATGAAGTTCTTTCCTTCACTACCACAGGCCTCAAAGCGGTCCAAATCTCCACTTGCAGATTCTACAAAAAGAGTGTTTGTAAACTGCTCTATCAAAAGGAATGTTCAACTCTGGGAGTTGAATGCAATCATCACAGAGCAGTTTCTGAGAATGCTTCTATGTCGTTTTTAGGAGAAGATATTTCCTTTTCCAACACAGTCCTCCAAGCCCGCTAAATAGCCACTTGCACATTGTAGAAAAAGTGTGTCAAAGCTGCGCTATCAAAGGGAAAGTTCAACTCTGTGAGGTGAATGCAAACATCCCAAAGAAGTTTCTGAGAATGCTTCCGTTTAGCTTTTAGGTGAAGATTATCCCGTTTCCAATGAAACCTTCAAAGAGGTCCAAATATCCCCTTGCGGATCCCACAGAAAGAGTGTTTCGAAACTGCTGTTTCAAAAGGAATCTTCAACTCTGTGAGTTGAATGCAATCATCACAAAGAAGTTTCTGACAATGCTTCTCTCTCGTCTTTCTGTGAAGATAAAGGAAAAGGCTTTCAGGCCTTTTCCACCACAGGCCTGAAAGCGCTCCAAATGTCCACTTGCAGATTCTGCGAAAAGAATATTTCAAAACTGCTCTATGAAAAGCAATGTTAAACTCTGTGGCTCGAACACAAACATCACAAAGCGGTTTCTGAGAATGCTTCAGTTTAGTTTTTCTGTGGAAATATTTCCGTTTCCAAAGAAATCTTCAAAGTGGTCCACGTATCCACTTACAGATTCTACAAAAAGACAGTTTCAAAACTGCTCCATCAAAAGGAGGGTTCAACTGTGTGACTTGAATGCAATCATCACTCAGAAGTTTCTGAGAATGCTTCTCTTTAGTTTTTACGTGAACATATACCCGTTTCGAACGAAGGCCAGCCAGTGGTCCAAATATCCACTTGCAGATTCTACAGAAAGAGTGTTTCGAACCTGAACTCTCAAAGGCAGGTTCATCTCTGCGAGTTAAATGCATTCATCATGAAGAACTTTCTCAGAGTGTTTGTGTTTAGTTATGGGAAATTATTCCCGTTTCCAACGAAATCCTCAGAGAGCTCCAAATATCCACCTGCAGATTCTACCAAAAGTGTATTTGGAAACTGCTCCATCAAAAGGCATGTTCAGCTCTGTGAGTGAAACTCCATCATCACAAAGAATATTCTGAGAATGCTTCCGTTTGCCTTTTATATGAAGTTCCTTCCTATACGACCGTAGGCCTCAAAGCAGTCCAAATCTCCATTTGCAGATTCTACAAAAAGAGTGATTCCAATCTGCTCTATCAATAGGATTGTTCAACTCCATGAGTTGAATGCCATCCTCACAAAGTAGTTTCTGAGAATGCTTCTATCTAGTTTTTATGTGAAGATATTTCCTTTTCCACCACAGGCCTCAAAGCCCTCCAAACGTCCACTTGCAGATTCTCGAAAAAGAGTGTTTCATAGCTGCTCTTTGAAAAGGAAAGTTCAACTCTGGGAGTTGAATACAAACATCACAAAGTAGTTTCCGAGAATGCTTCTGTTTAGTTTTTATGTGAAGATGATCCCGTTTCCAGTGAAATCTTCAAAGAGGTCCACATATCCCCTTGCAGATTCCAAAGAAAGAGGGTTTCAAAACTGCTCCATCAGAAGGATTGTTCAACTCTGTGAGTTGAATGCAGTCATCGCAGAAAACTTTCTGAGAATGCTTCTGTCTAGGTTTGATGTGAAGATATAGACGTTTCAAACGAAGGCTACAAAGTGGTCAAAATATACACTTGCAGATTCTACTACAAGGGTGTTGCAAACCTGAACTATCAAAGGAAGGTTCAACTCTGTGAGTTGAATACAAACATCACAAAGAATGTTCTGAGTTTGCTTCCGTTCAGTTATGGGAAGTTGATCCCGTTTCCAACGAAATCCTCAGAGAGGTCCAAATATCCCCTTGCAGATTCTACAAAACGTGTGTTTGGAAACTGCTCCATCATAACGAATGTTCAGCTCCCTGAGTTAAACTCCATCGTCACAAAGAATTTTCTGAGAGTGCTACCGTCTGGTTTTTATATGAAGTTCTTTCCTTCACTACCACAGGCCTCAAAGCGGTCCAAATCTCCACTTGCAGATTCTACAAAAAGAGTGTTTGCAAACTGCTCTATCAAAAGGAATGTTCAACTCTGGGAGTTGAATGCAATCATCACAGAGCAGTTTCTGAGAATGCTTCTATGTCGTTTTTAGGAGAAGATATTTCCTTTTCCAACACAATCCTCCAAGCCCGCTAAATAGCCACTTGCACATTGTAGAAAAAGTGTGTCAAAGCTGCGCTATCAAAGGGAAAGTTCAACTCTGTGAGGTGAATGCAAACATCCCAAAGAAGTTTCTGAGAATGCTTCCGTTTAGCTTTTAGGTGAAGATTATCCCGTTTCCAACGAAACCTTCAAAGAGGTCCAAATATCCCCTTGCGGATCCCACAGAAAGAGTGTTTCGAAACTGCTGTTTCAAAAGGAATCTTCAACTCTGTGAGTTGAATGCAATCATCAAAAAGAAGTTTCTGACAATGCTTCTCTCTCGTCTTTCTGTGAAGATAAAGGAAAAGGCTTTCAGGCCTTTGCCACCACAGGCCTGAAAGCGCTCCAAATGTCCACTTGCAGATTCTGCGAAAAGAATATTTCAAAACTGCTCTATGAAAAGCAATGTTAAACTCTGCGGCTCGAACACAAACATCACAAAGCGGTTTCTGAGAATGCTTCAGTTTAGTTTTTCTGTGGAAGTATTCCCGTTTCCAAAGAAATCTTCAAAGAGGTCCACGTATCCACTTACAGATTCTACAAAAAGACAGTTTCAAAACTGCTCCATCAAAAGGAGGGTTCAACTGTGTGACTTGAATGCAATCATCACTCAGAAGTTTCTGAGAATGCTTCTCTTTAGTTTTTACGTGAACATATACGCGTTTCGAACGAAGGCCACCCAGTGGTCCAAATATCCACTTGCAGATTATACAGAAAGAGTGTTTCGAACCTGAACTCTCAAAGGCAGGTTCATCTCTGCGAGTTAAATGCATTCATCATGAAGAACTTTCTCAGAGTGTTTGTGTTTAGTTATGGGAAATTATTCCCGTTTCCAACGAAATCCTCAGAGAGCTCCAAATATCCACCTGCAGATTCTACCAAAAGTGTATTTGGAAACTGCTCCATCAAAAGGCATGTTCAGCTCTGTGAGTGAAACTCCATCATCACAAAGAATATTCTGAGAATGCTTCCGTTTGCCTTTTATATGAAGTTCCTTCCTATACTACCGTAGGCCTCAAAGCAGTCCAAATCTCCATTTGCAGATTCTATAAAAAGAGTGATTCCAATCTGCTCTATCAATAGGATTGTTCAACTCCATGAGTTGAATGCCATCCTCACAAAGTAGTTTCTGAGAATGCTTCTATCTGGTTTTTGTGTGAAGATATTTCCTTTTCCACCACAGGCCTCAAAGCCCTCCAAACGTCCACTTGCAGATTCTCGAAAAAGAGTGTTTCATAGCTGCTCTTTCAAAAGGAAAGTTCAACTCTGGGAGTTGAATACAAACATCACAAAGTAGTTTCCGAGAATGCTTCTGTTTAGTTTTTATGTGAAGATGATCCCGTTTCCAGTGAAATCTTCAAAGAGGTCCACATATCCCCTTGCAGATTCCAAAGAAAGAGGGTTTCAAAACTGCTCCATCAGAAGGATTGTTCAACTCTGTGAGTTGAATGCAGTCATCGCAGAAAACTTTCTGAGAATGCTTCTGTCTAGGTTTGATGTGAAGATATAGACGTTTCAAACGAAGGCTACAAAGTGGTCAAAATATACAATTGCAGATTCTACTACAAGGGTGTTGCAAACCTGAACTATCAAAGGAAGGTTCAACTCTGTGAGTTGAATACAAACATCACAAAGAATGTTCTGAGTTTGCTTCCGTTCAGTTATGGGAAGTTGATCCCGTTTCCAACGAAATCCTCAGAGAGGTCCAAATATCCCCTCGCAGATTCTACAAAACGTGTGTTTGGAAACTGCTCCATCATAACGAATGTTCAGCTCCCTGAGTTAAACTCCATCGTCACAAAGAATTTTCTGAGAGTGCTACCGTCTGGTTTTTATATGAAGTTCTTTCCTTCACTACCACAGGCCTCAAAGCGGTCCAAATCTCCACTTGCAGATTCTACAAAAAGAGTGTTTGCAAACTGCTCTATCAAAAGGAATGTTCAACTCTGGGAGTTGAATGCAATCATCACAGAGCAGTTTCTGAGAATGCTTCTATGTCGTTTTTAGGAGAAGATATTTCCTTTTCCAACACAGTCCTCCAAGCCCGCTAAATAGCCACTTGCACATTGTAGAAAAAGTGTGTCAAAGCTGCGCTATCAAAGGGAAAGTTCAACTCTGTGAGGTGAATGCAAACATCCCAAAGAAGTTTCTGAGAATGCTTCTGTTTAGCTTTTAGGTGAAGATTATCCCGTTTCCAACGAAACCTTCAAAGAGGTCCAAATATCCCCTTGCGGATCCCACAGAAAGAGTGTTTCGAAACTGCTGTTTCAAAAGGAATCTTCAACTCTGTGAGTTGAATGCAATCATCACAAAGAAGTTTCTGACAATGCTTCTCTCTCGTCTTTCTGTGAAGATAAAGGAAAAGGCTTTCAGGCCTTTTCCACCACAGGCCTGAAAGCGCTCCAAATGTCCACTTGCAGATTCTGCGAAAAGAATATTTCAAAACTGCTCTATGAAAAGCAATGTTAAACTCTGTGGCTCGAACACAAACATCACAAAGCGGTTTCTGAGAATGCTTCAGTTTAGTTTTTCTGTGGAAATATTCCCGTTTCCAAAGAAATCTTCAAAGAGGTCCACGTATCCACTTACAGATTCTACAAAAAGACAGTTTCAAAACTGCTCCATCAAAAGGAGGGTTCAACTGTGTGACTTGAATGCAATCATCACTCAGAAGTTTCTGAGAATGCTTCTCTTTAGTTTTTACGTGAACATATACCCGTTTCGAACGAAGGCCAGCCAGTGGTCCAAATATCCACTTGCAGATTCTACAGAAAGAGTGTTTCGAACCTGAACTCTCAAAGGCAGGTTCATCTCTGCGAGTTAAATGCATTCATCATGAAGAACTTTCTCAGAGTGTTTGTGTTTAGTTATGGGAAATTATTCCCGTTTCCAACGAAATCCTCAGAGAGGTCCAAATATCCACCTGCAGATTCTACCAAAAGTGTATTTGGAAACTGCTCCATCAAAAGGCATGTTCAGCTCTGTGAGTGAAACTCCATCATCACAAAGAATATTCTGAGAATGCTTCCGTTTGCCTTTTATATGAAGTTCCTTCCTGTACTACTGTAGGCCTCAAAGCAGTCCAAATCTCCATTTGCAGATTCTACAAAAAGAGTGATTCCAATCTGCTCTATCAATAGGATTGTTCAACTCCATGAGTTGAATGCCATCCTCACAAAGTAGTTTCTGAGAATGCTTCTATCTGGTTTTTGTGTGAAGATATTTCCTTTTCCACCACAGGCCTCAAAGCCCTCCAAACGACCACTTGCAGATTCTCGAAAAAGAGTGTTTCATAGCTGCTCTTTCAAAAGGAAAGTTCAACTCTGGGAGTTGAATACAAACATCACAAAATAGTTTCCGAGAATGCTTCTGTTTAGTTTTTATGTGAAGATGATCCCGTTTCCAGTGAAATCTTCAAAGAGGTCCACATATCCCCTTGCAGATTCCAAAGAAAGAGGGTTTCAAAACTGCTCCATCAAAAGGATTCTTCAACTCTGTGAGTTGAATGCAGTCATCGCAGAAAACTTTCTGAGAATGCTTCTGTCTAGGTTTGATGTGAAGATATAGACGTTTCAAACGAAGGCTACAAAGTGATCAAAATATACACTTGCAGATTCTACTACAAGGGTGTTGCAAACCTGAACTATCAAAGGAAGGTTCAACTCTGTGAGTTGAATACAAACATCACAAAGAATGTTCTGAGTTTGCTTCCGTTCAGTTATGGGAAGTTGATCCCGTTTCCAACGAAATCCTCAGAGAGGTCCAAATATCCCCTTGCAGATTCTACAAAACGTGTGTTTGGAAACTGCTCCATCATAACGAATGTTCAGCTCCCTGAGTTAAACTCCATCGTCACAAAGAATTTTCTGAGAGTGCTACCGTCTGGTTTTTATATGAAGTTCTTTCCTTCACTACCACAGGCCTCAAAGCGGTCCAAATCTCCACTTGCAGATTCTACAAAAAGAGTGTTTGCAAACTGCTCTATCAAAAGGAATGTTCAACTCTGGGAGTTGAATGCAATCATCACAGAGCAGTTTCTGAGAATGCTTCTATGTCGTTTTTAGGAGAAGATATTTCCTTTTCCAACACAGTCCTCCAAGCCCGCTAAATAGCCACTTGCACATTGTAGAAAAAGTGTGTCAAAGCTGCGCTATCAAAGGGAAAGTTCAACTCTGTGAGGTGAATGCAAACATCCCAAAGAAGTTTCTGAGAATGCTTCCGTTTAGCTTTTAGGTGAAGATTATCCCGTTTCCAACGAAACCTTCAAAGAGGTCCAAATATCCCCTTGCGGATCCCACAGAAAGAGTGTTTCGAAACTGCTGTTTCAAAAGGAATCTTCAACTCTGTGAGTTGAATGCAATCATCACAAAGAAGTTTCTGACAATGCTTCTCTCTCGTCTTTCTGTGAAGATAAAGGAAAAGGCTTTCAGGCCTTTTCCACCACAGGCCTGAAAGCGCTCCAAATGTCCACTTGCAGATTCTGCCAAAAGAATATTTCAAAACTGCTCTATGAAAAGCAATGTTAAACTCTGTGGCTCGAACACAAACATCACAAAGCGGTTTCTGAGAATGCTTCAGTTTAGTTTTTCTGTGGAAATATTCCCGTTTCCAAAGAAATCTTCAAAGAGGTCCACGTATCCACTTACAGATTCTACAAAAAGACAGTTTCAAAACTGCTCCATCAAAAGGAGGGTTCAACTGTGTGACTTGAATGCAATCATCACTCAGAAGTTTCTGAGAATGCTTCTCTTTAGTTTTTACGTGAACATATACCCGTTTCGAACGAAGGCCACCCAGTGGTCCAAATATCCACTTGCAGATTCTACAGAAAGAGTGTTTCGAACCTGAACTCTCAAAGGCAGGTTCATCTCTGCGAGTTAAAAGCATTCATCATGAAGAACTTTCTCAGAGTGTTTGTGTTTAGTTATGGGAAATTATTCCCGTTTCCAACGAAATCCTCAGAGAGCTCCAAATATCCACCTGCAGATTCTACCAAAAGTGTATTTGGAAACTGCTCAATCAAAAGGCATGTTCAGCTCTGTGAGTGAAACTCCATCATCACAAAGAATATTCTGAGAATGCTTCCGTTTGCCTTTTATATGAAGTTCCTTCCTGTACTACCGTAGGCCTCAAAGCAGTCCAAATCTCCATTTGCAGATTCTATAAAAAGAGTGATTCCAATCTGCTCTATCAATAGGATTGTTCAACTCCATGAGTTGAATGCCATCCTCACAAAGTAGTTTCTGAGAATGCTTCTATCTGGTTTTTGTGTGAAGATATTTCCTTTTCCACCACAGGCCTCAAAGCCCTCCAAACGTCCACTTGCAGATTCTCGAAAAAGAGTGTTTCATAGCTGCTCTTTCAAAAGGAAAGTTCAACTCTGGGAGTTGAATACAAACATCACAAAATAGTTTCCGAGAATGCTTCAGTTTAGTTTTTATGTGAAGATGATCCCGTTTCCAGTGAAATCTTCAAAGAGGTCCACATATCCCCTTGCAGATTCCAAAGAAAGAGGGTTTCAAAACTGCTCCATCAGAAGGATTGTTCAACTCTGTGAGTTGAATGCAGTCATCGCAGAAAACTTTCTGAGAATGCTTCTGTCTAGGTTTGATGTGAAGATATAGAAGTTTCAAACGAAGGCTACAAAGTGGTCAAAATATATACTTGCAGATTCTACTACAAGGGTGTTGCAAACCTGAACTATCAAAGGAAGGTTCAACTCTGTGAGTTGAATACAAACATCACAAAGAATGTTCTGAGTTTGCTTCCGTTCAGTTATGGGAAGTTGATCCCGTTTCCAACGAAATCCTCAGAGAGGTCCAAATATCCCCTTGCAGATTCTACAAAACGTGTGTTTGGAAACTGCTCCATCATAACGAATGTTCAGCTCCCTGAGTTAAACTCCATCGTCACAAAGAATTTTCTGAGAGTGCTACCGTCTGGTTTTTATATGAAGTTCTTTCCTTCACTACCACAGGCCTCAAAGCGGTCCAAATCTCCACTTGCAGATTCTACAAAAAGAGTGTTTGCAAACTGCTCTATCAAAAGGAATGTTCAACTCTGGGAGTTGAATGCAATCATCACAGAGCAGTTTCTGAGAATGCTTCTATGTCGTTTTTAGGAGAAGATATTTCCTTTTCCAACACAGTCCTCCAAGCCCGCTAAATAGCCACTTGCACATTGTAGAAAAAGTGTGTCAAAGCTGCGCTATCAAAGGGAAAGTTCAACTCTGTGAGGTGAATGCAAACATCCCAAAGAAGTTTCTGAGAATGCTTCCGTTTAGCTTTTAGGTGAAGATTATCCCGTTTCCAACGAAACCTTCAAAGAGGTCCAAATATCCCCTTGCGGATCCCACAGAAAGAGTGTTTCGAAACTGCTGTTTCAAAAGGAATCTTCAACTCTGTGAGTTGAATGCAATCATCACAAAGAAGTTTCTGACAATGCTTCTCTCTCGTCTTTCTGTGAAGATAAAGGAAAAGGCTTTCAGGCCTTTGCCACCACAGGCCTGAAAGCGCTCCAAATGTCCACTTGCAGATTCTGCCAAAAGAATATTTCAAAACTGCTCTATGAAAAGCAATGTTAAACTCTGCGGCTCGAACACAAACATCACAAAGCGGTTTCTGAGAATGCTTCAGTTTAGTTTTTCTGTGGAAATATTCCCGTTTCCAAAGAAATCTTCAAAGAGGTCCACGTATCCACTTACAGATTCTACAAAAAGACAGTTTCAAAACTGCTCCATCAAAAGGAGGGTTCAACTGTGTGACTTGAATGCAATCATCACTCAGAAGTTTCTGAGAATGCTTCTCTTTAGTTTTTACGTGAACATATACCCGTTTCGAACGAAGGCCAGCCAGTGGTCCAAATATCCACTTGCAGATTCTACAGAAAGAGTGTTTCGAACCTGAACTCTCAAAGGCAGGTTCATCTCTGCGAGTTGAATGCATTCATCATGAAGAACTTTCTCAGAGTGTTTGTGTTTAGTTATGGGAAATTATTCCCGTTTCCAACGAAATCCTCAGAGAGCTCCAAATATCCACCTGCAGATTCTACCAAAAGTGTATTTGGAAACTGCTCCATCAAAAGGCATGTTCAGCTCTGTGAGTGAAACTCCATCATCACAAAGAATATTCTGAGAATGCTTCCGTTTGCCTTTTATATGAAGTTCCTTCCTGTACTACCGTAGGCCTCAAAGCAGTCCAAATCTCCATTTGCAGATTCTACAAAAAGAGTGATTCCAATCTGCTCTATCAATAGGATTGTTCAACTCCATGAGTTGAATGCCATCCTCACAAAGTAGTTTCTGAGAATGCTTCTATCTGGTTTTTGTGTGAAGATATTTCCTTTTCCACCACAGACCTCAAAGCCCTCCAAACGTCCACTTGCAGATTCTCGAAAAAGAGTGTTTCATAGCTGCTCTTTCAAAAGGAAAGTTCAACTCTGGGAGTTGAATACAAACATCACAAACTAGTTTCCGAGAATGCTTCTGTTTAGTTTTTATGTGAAGATGATCCCGTTTCCAGTGAAATCTTCAAAGAGGTCCACATATCCCCTTGCAGATTCCAAAGAAAGAGGGTTTCAAAACTGCTCCATCAAAAGGATTGTTCAACTCTGTGAGTTGAATGCAGTCATCGCAGAAAACTTTCTGAGAATGCTTCTGTCTAGGTTTGATGTGAAGATATAGATGTTTCAAACGAAGGCTACAAAGTGGTCAAAATATACACTTGCAGATTCTACTACAAGGGTGTTGCAAACCTGAACTATCAAAGGAAGGTTCAACTCTGTGAGTTGAATACAAACATCACAAAGAATGTTCTGAGTTTGCTTCCGTTCAGTTATGGGAAGTTGATCCCGTTTCCAACGAAATCCTCAGAGAGGTCCAAATATCCCCTTGCAGATTCTACAAAACGTGTGTTTGGAAACTGCTCCATCATAACGAATGTTCAGCTGCTCTGAGTTAAACTCCATCGTCACAAAGAATTTTCTGAGAGTGCTACCGTCTGGTTTTTATATGAAGTTCTTTCCTTCACTACCACAGGCCTCAAAGCGGTCCAAATCTCCACTTGCAGATTCTACAAAAAGAGTGTTTGCAAACTGCTCTATCAAAAGGAATGTTCAACTCTGGGAGTTGAATGCAATCATCACAGAGCAGTTTCTGAGAATGCTTCTATGTCGTTTTTAGGAGAAGATATTTCCTTTTCCAACACAGTCCTCCAAGCCCGCTAAATATCCACTTACACATTGTAGAAAAAGTGTGTCGAAGCTGCGCTATCAAAGGGAAAGTTCAACTCTGTGAGGTGAATGCAAACATCCCAAAGAAGTTTCTGAGAATGCTTCCGTTTAGCTTTAAGTGAAGATTATCCCGTTTCCAACGAAATCTTCAAAGAGGTCCAAATATCCCCTTGCGGATCCCACAGAAAGAGTGTTTCGAAACTGCTGTTTCAAAAGGAATCTTCAACTCTGTGAGTTGAATGCAATCATCACAAAGAAGTTTCTGACAATGCTTCTCTCTCGTCTTTCTGTGAAGATAAAGGAAAAGGCTTTCAGGCCATTTCCACCACAGGCCTGAAAGCGCTCCACATGTCCACTTGCAGATTCTGCCAAAAGAATATTTCAAAACTGCTCTATGAAAAGCAATGTTAAACTCTGCGGCTCGAACACAAACATCACAAAGCAGTTTCTGAGAATGCTTCAGTTTAGTTTTTCTGTGGAAATATTCCCGTTTCCAAAGAAATCTTCAAAGAGGTCCACGCATCCACTTACAGATTCTACAAAAAGACAGTTTCAAAACTGCTCAATCAAAAGGAGGGTTCAACTGTGTGACTTGAATGCATTCATCACTCAGAAGTTTCTGAGAACGCTTCTCTTTAGTTTTTACGTGAACATATACCCGTTTCGAACGAAGGCCAGCCAGTGGTCCAAATATCCACTTGCAGATTCTACAGAAAGAGTGTTTCGAACCTGAACTCTCAAAGGCAGGTTCATCTCTGCGAGTTAAATGCATTCATCATGAAGAACTTTCTCAGCGTGTTTGTGTTTAGGTATGGGAAATTATTCCCGTTTCCAACGAAATCCTCAAAGAGCTCCAAATATCCACCTGCAGATTCTACCAAAAGTGTATTTGGAAACTGCTCCATCAAAAGGCATGTTCAGCTCTGTGAGTGAAACTCCATCATCACAAAGAATATTCTGAGAATGCTTCCGTTTGCCTGTTATATGAAGTTCCTTCCTATACGACCGTAGGCCTCAAAGCAGTCCAAATCTCCATTTGCAGATTCTACAAAAAGAGTGATTCCAATCTGCTCTATCAATAGGATTGTTCAACTCCATGAGTTGAATGCCATCTTCCAAAGTAGTTTCTGAGAATGCTTCTATCTAGTTTTTATGTGAAGATATTTCCTTTTCCACCACAGGCCTCAAAGCCCTCCAAACGTCCACTTTCAGATTCTCGAAAAAGAGTGTTTCATAGCTGCTCTTTCAAAAGGAAAGTTCAACTCTGGGAGTTGAATACAAACATCACAAAGTAGTTTCCGAGAATGCTTTCTGTTTAGTTTTTATGTGAAGATGATCCCGTTTCCAGTGAAATCTTCAAAGAGGTCCACATATCCCCTTGCAGATTCCAAAGAAAGAGGGTTTCAAAACTGCTCCATCAGAAGGATTGTTCAACTCTGTGAGTTGAATGCAGTCATCGCAGAAAACTTTCTGAGAATGCTTCTGTCTAGGTTTGATGTGAAGATATAGACGTTTCAAACGAAGGCTACAAAGTGGTCAAAATATACACTTGCAGATTCTACTACAAGGGTGTTGCAAACCTGAACTATCAAAGGAAGGTTCAACTCTGTGAGTTGAATACAAACATCACAAAGAATGTTCTGAGTTTGCTTCCGTTCAGTTATGGGAAGTTGATCCCGTTTCCAACGAAATCCTCAGAGAGGTCCAAATATCCCCTTGCAGATTCTACAAAACGTGTGTTTGGAAACTGCTCCATCATAACGAATGTTCAGCTCCCTGAGTTAAACTCCATCGTCACAAAGAATTTTCTGAGAGTGCTACCGTCTGGTTTTTATATGAAGTTCTTTCCTTCACTACCACAGGCCTCAAAGCGGTCCAAATCTCCACTTGCAGATTCTACAAAAAGAGTGTTTGCAAACTGCTCTATCAAAAGGAATGTTCAACTCTGGGAGTTGAATGCAATCATCACAGAGCAGTTTCTGAGAATGCTTCTATGTCGTTTTTAGGAGAAGATATTTCCTTTTCCAACACAGTCCTCCAAGCCCGCTAAATAGCCACTTGCACATTGTAGAAAAAGTGTGTCAAAGCTGCGCTATCAAAGGGAAAGTTCAACTCTGTGAGGTGAATGCAAACATCCCAAAGAAGTTTCTGAGAATGCTTCCGTTTAGCTTTTAGGTGAAGATTATCCCGTTTCCAACGAAACCTTCAAAGAGGTCCAAATATCCCCTTGCGGATCCCACAGAAAGAGTGTTTCGAAACTGCTGTTTCAAAAGGAATCTTCAACTCTGTGAGTTGAATGCAATCATCACAAAGAAGTTTCTGACAATGCTTCTCTCTCGTCTTTCTGTGAAGATAAAGGAAAAGGCTTTCAGGCCTTTTCCACCACAGGCCTGAAAGCGCTCCAAATGTCCACTTGCAGATTCTGCGAAAAGAATATTTCAAAACTGCTCTATGAAAAGCAATGTTAAACTCTGTGGCTGGAACACAAACATCACAAAGCAGTTTCTGAGAATGTTTCAGTTTAGTTTTTCTGTGGAAATATTCCCGTTTCCAAAGAAATCTTCAAAGAG
Source organism: Homo sapiens (assembly GCF_000001405.40). Taxonomy (NCBI): domain Eukaryota; kingdom Metazoa; phylum Chordata; class Mammalia; order Primates; family Hominidae; genus Homo; species Homo sapiens. Next base: position 60,520,425 of record NC_000023.11, on the reverse strand, counting down.
GTCCACGTATCCACTTACAGATTCTACAAAAAGACAGTTTCAAAACTGCTCCATCAAAAGGAGGGTTCAACCGTGTGACTTGAATGCAATCATCACTCAGAAGTTTCTGAGAATGCTTCTCTTTAGTTTTTACGTGAACATATACCCGTTTCGAACGAAGGCCAGCCAGTGGTCCAAATATCCACTTGCAGATTCTACAGAAAGAGTGTTTCGAACCTGAACTCTCAAAGGCAGGTTCATCTCTGCGAGTTAAATGCATTCATCATGAAGAACTTTCTCAGAGTGTTTGTGTTTAGTTATGGGAAATTATTCCCGTTTCCAACGAAATCCTCAGAGAGCTCCAAATATCCACCTGCAGATTCTACCAAAAGTGTATTTGGAAACTGCTCCCATCTCAAAAGGCATGTTCAGCTCTGTGAGTGAAACTCCATCATCACAAAGAATATTCTGAGAATGCTTCCGTTTGCCTTTTATATGAAGTTCCTTCCTATACGACCGGAGGCCTCAAAGCAGTCCAAATCTCCATTTGCAGATTCTACAAAAAGAGTGATTCCAATCTGCTCTATCAATAGGATTGTTCAACTCCATGAGTTGAATGCCATCCTCACAAAGTCGTTTCTGAGAATGCTTCTATCTAGTTTTTATGTGAAGATATTTCCTTTTCCACCACAGGCCTCAAAGCCCTCCAAACGTCCACTTGCAGATTCTCGAAAAAGAGTGTTTCATAGCTGCTCTTTCAAAAGGAAAGTTCAACTCTGGGAGTTGAATACAAACATCACAAAGTAGTTTCCGAGAATGCTTCCTGTTTAGTTTTTATGTGAAGATGATCCCGTTTCCAGTGAAATCTTCAAAGAGGTCCACATATCCCCTTGCAGATTCCAAAGAAAGAGGGTTTCAAAACTGCTCCATCAGAAGGATTGTTCAACTCTGTGAGTTGAATGCAGTCATCGCAGAAAACTTTCTGAGAATGCTTCTGTCTAGGTTTGATGTGAAGATATAGACGTTTCAAACGAAGGCTACAAAGTGGTCAAAATATACACTTGCAGATTCTACTACAAGGGTGTTGCAAACCTGAACTATCAAAGGAAGGTTCAACTCTGTGAGTTGAATACAAACATCACAAAGAATGTTCTGAGTTTGCTTCCGTTCAGTTATGGGAAGTTGATCCCGTTTCCAACGAAATCCTCAGAGAGGTCCCAATATCCCCTTGCAGATTCTACAAAACGTGTGTTTGGAAACTGCTCCATCATAACGAATGTTCAGCTCCCTGAGTTAAACTCCATCGTCACAAAGAATTTTCTGAGAGTGCTACCGTCTGGTTTTTATATGAAGTTCTTTCCTTCACTACCACAGACCTCAAAGCGGTCCAAATCTCCACTTGCAGATTCTACAAAAAGAGTGTTTGCAAACTGCTCTATCAAAAGGAATGTTCAACTCTGGGAGTTGAATGCAATCATCACAGAGCAGTTTCTGAGAATGCTTCTATGTCGTTTTTAGGAGAAGATATTTCCTTTTCCAACACAGTCCTCCAAGCCCGCTAAATAGCCACTTGCACATTGTAGAAAAAGTGTGTCAAAGCTGCGCTATCAAAGGGAAAGTTCAACTCTGTGAGGTGAATGCAAACATCCCAAAGAAGTTTCTGAGAATGCTTCCGTTTAGCTTTTAGGTGAAGATTATCCCGTTTCCAACGAAAGCTTCAAAGAGGTCCAAATATCCCCTTGCGGATCCCACAGAAAGAGTGTTTCGAAACTGCTGTTTCAAAAGGAATCTTCAACTCTGTGAGTTGAATGCAATCATCACAAAGAAGTTTCTGACAATGCTTCTCTCTCGTCTTTCTGTGAAGATAAAGGAAAAGGCTTTCAGGCCTTTTCAACCACAGGCCTGAAAGCGCTCCAAATGTCCACTTGCAGATTCTGCCAAAAGAATATTTCAAAACTGCTCTATGAAAAGCAATGTTAAACTCTGTGGCTCGAACACAAACATCACAAAGCAGTTTCTGAGAATGCTTCAGTTTAGTTTTTCTGTGGAAATATTCCCGTTTCCAAAGAAATCTTCAAAGAGGTCCACGTATCCACTTACAGATTCTACAAAAAGACAGTTTCAAAACTGCTCCATCAAAAGGAGGGTTCAACTGTGTGACTTGAATGCAATCATCACTCAGAAGTTTCTGAGAATGCTTCTCTTTAGTTTTTACGTGAACATATACCCGTTTCGAACGAAGGCCAGCCAGTGGTCCAAATATCCACTTGCAGATTCTACAGAAAGAGTGTTTCGAACCTGAACTCTCAAAGGCAGGTTCATCTCTGCGAGTTAAATGCATTCATCATGAAGAACTTTCTCAGAGTGTTTGTGTTTAGTTATGGGAAATTATTCCCGTTTCCAACGAAATCCTCAGAGAGGTCCAAATATCCACCTGCAGATTCTACCAAAAGTGTATTTGGAAACTGCTCCATCAAAAGGCATGTTCAGCTCTGTGAGTGAAACTCCATCATCACAAAGAATATTCTGAGAATGCTTCCGTTTGCCTTTTATATGAAGTTCCTTCCTATACTACCGTAGGCCTCAAAGCAGTCCAAATCTCCATTTGCAGATTCTACAAAAAGAGTGATTCCAATCTGCTCTATCAATAGGATTGTTCAACTCCATGAGTTGAATGCCATCCTCACAAAGTCGTTTCTGAGAATGCTTCTATCTAGTTTTTATGTGAAGATATTTCCTTTTCCACCACAGGCCTCAAAGCCCTCCAAACGTCCACTTGCAGATTCTCGAAAAAGAGTGTTTCATAGCTGCTCTTTCAAAAGGAAAGTTCAACTCTGGGAGTTGAATACAAACATCACAAAGTAGTTTCCGAGAATGCTTCTGTTTAGTTTTTATGTGAAGATGATCCCGTTTCCAGTGAAATCTTCAAAGAGGTCCACATATCCCCTTGCAGATTCCAAAGAAAGAGGGTTTCAAAACTGCTCCATCAGAAGGATTGTTCAACTCTGTGAGTTGAATGCAGTCATCGCAGAAAACTTTCTGAGAATGCTTCTGTCTAGGTTTGATGTGAAGATATAGACGTTTCAAATGAAGGCTACAAAGTGGTCAAAATATACACTTGCAGATTCTACTACAAGGGTGTTGCAAACCTGAACTATCAAAGGAAGGTTCAACTCTGTGAGTTGAATACAAACATCACAAAGAATGTTCTGAGTTTGCTTCCGTTCAGTTATGGGAAGCTGATCCCGTTTCCAACGAAATCCTCAGAGAGGTCCAAATATCCCCTTGCAGATTCTACAAAACGTGTGTTTGGAAACTGCTCCATCATAACGAATGTTCAGCTCCCTGAGTTAAACTCCATCGTCACAAAGAATTTTCTGAGAGTGCTACCGTCTGGTTTTTATATGAAGTTCTTTCCTTCACTACCACAGGCCTCAAAGCGGTCCAAATCTCCACTTGCAGATTCTACAAAAAGAGTGTTTGCAAACTGCTCTATCAAAAGGAATGTTCAACTCTGGGAGTTGAATGCAATCATCACAGAGCAGTTTCTGAGAATGCTTCTATGTCGTTTTTAGGAGAAGATATTTCCTTTTCCAACACAGTCCTCCAAGCCCGCTAAATAGCCACTTGCACATTGTAGAAAAAGTGTGTCAAAGCTGCGCTATCAAAGGGAAAGTTCAACTCTGTGAGGTGAATGCAAACATCCCAAAGAAGTTTCTGAGAATGCTTCCGTTTAGCTTTTAGGTGAAGATTATCCCGTTTCCAACGAAACCTTCAAAGAGGTCCAAATATCCCCTTGCGGATCCCACAGAAAGAGTGTTTCGAAACTGCTGTTTCAAAAGGAATCTTCAACTCTGTGAGTTGAATGCAATCATCACAAAGAAGTTTCTGACAATGCTTCTCTCTCGTCTTTCTGTGAAGATAAAGGAAAAGGCTTTCAGGCCCTTTTCCACCACAGGCCTGAAAGCGCTCCAAATGTCCACTTGCAGATTCTGCCAAAAGAATATTTCAAAACTGCTCTATGAAAAGCAATGTTAAACTCTGTGGCTCGAACACAAACATCACAAAGCGGTTTCTGAGAATGCTTCAGTTTAGTTTTTCTGTGGAAATATTCCCGTTTCCAAAGAAATCTTCAAAGAGGTCCACGTATCCACTTACAGATTCTACAAAAAGACAGTTTCAAAACTGCTCCATCAAAAGGAGGGTTCAACTGTGTGACTTGAATGCAATCATCACTCAGAAGTTTCTGAGAATGCTTCTCTTTAGTTTTTACGTGAACATATACCCGTTTCGAACGAAGGCCAGCCAGTGGTCCAAATATCCACTTGCAGATTCTACAGAAAGAGTGTTTCGAACCTGAACTCTCAAAGGCAGGTTCATCTCTGCGAGTTAAATGCATTCATCATGAAGAACTTTCTCAGCGTGTTTGTGTTTAGTTATGGGAAATTATTCCCGTTTCCAACGAAATCCTCAGAGAGCTCCAAATATCCACCTGCAGATTCTACCAAAAGTGTATTTGGAAACTGCTCCATCAAAAGGCATGTTCAGCTCTGTGAGTGAAACTCCATCATCACAAAGAATATTCTGAGAATGCTTCCGTTTGCGTTTTATATGAAGTTCCTTCCTGTACTACCGTAGGCCTCAAAGCAGTCCAAATCTCCATTTGCAGATTCTACAAAAAGAGTGATTCCAATCTGCTCTATCAATAGGATTGTTCAACTCCATGAGTTGAATGCCATCCTCACAAAGCAGTTTCTGAGAATGCTTCTATCTGGTTTTTGTGTGAAGATATTTCCTTTTCCACCACAGGCCTCAAAGCCCTCCAAACGTCCACTTGCAGATTCTCGAAAAAGAGTGTTTCATAGCTGCTCTTTCAAAAGGAAAGTTCAACTCTGGGAGTTGAATACAAACATCACAAAATAGTTTCCGAGAATGCTTCTGTTTAGTTTTTATGTGAAGATGATCCCGTTTCCAGTGAAATCTTCAAAGAGGTCCACATATCCCCTTGCAGATTCCAAAGAAAGAGGGTTTCAAAACTGCTCCATCAGAAGGATTGTTCAACTCTGTGAGTTGAATGCAGTCATCGCAGAAAACTTTCTGAGAATGCTTCTTTCTAGGTTTGATGTGAAGATATAGACGTTTCAAACGAAGGCTACAAAGTGGTCAAAATATACACTTGCAGATTCTACTACAAGGGTGTTGCAAACCTGAACTATCAAAGGAAGGTTCAACTCTGTGAGTTGAATACAAACATCACAAAGAATGTTCTGAGTTTGCTTCCGTTCAGTTATGGGAAGTTGATCCCGTTTCCAACGAAATCCTCAGAGAGGTCCAAATATCCCCTTGCAGATTCTACAAAACGTGTGTTTGGAAACTGCTCCATCATAACGAATGTTCAGCTCCCTGAGTTAAACTCCATCGTCACAAAGAATTTTCTGAGAGTGCTACCGTCTGGTTTTTATATGAAGCTCTTTCCTTCACTACCCCAGGCCTCAAAGCGGTCCAAATCTCCACTTCCAGATTCTACATAAAGAGTGTTTGCAAACTGCTCTATCAAAAGGAATGTTCAACTCTGGGAGTTGAATGCAATCATCACAGAGCAGTTTCTGAGAATGCTTCTATGTCGTTTTTAGGAGAAGATATTTCCTTTTCCAACACAGTCCTCCAAGCCCGCTAAATAGCCACTTGCACATTGTAGAAAAAGTGTGTCGAAGCTGCGCTATCAAAGGGAAAGTTCAACTCTGTGAGGTGAATGCAAACATCCCAAAGAAGTTTCTGAGAATGCTTCCGTTTAGCTTTTAGGTGAAGATTATCCCGTTTCCAACGAAACCTTCAAAGAGGTCCAAATATCCCCTTGCGGATCCCACAGAAAGAGTGTTTCGAAACTGCTGTTTCAAAAGGAATCTTCAACTCTGTGAGTTGAATGCAATCATCACAAAGAAGTTTCTGACAATGCTTCTCTCTCGTCTTTCTGTCAAGATAAAGGAAAAGGCTTTCAGGCCTTTTCCACCACAGGCCTGAAAGCGCTCCAAATGTCCACTTGCAGATTCTGCGAAAAGAATATTTCAAAACTGCTCTATGAAAAGCAATGTTAAACTCTGTGGCTGGAACACAAACATCACAAAGCGGTTTCTGAGAATGTTTCAGTTTAGTTTTTCTGTGGAAATATTCCCGTTTCCAAAGAAATCTTCAAAGAGGTCCACGTATCCACTTACAGATTCTACAAAAAGACAGTTTCAAAACTGCTCCATCAAAAGGAGGGTTCAACTGTGTGACTTGAATGCAATCATCACTCAGAAGTTTCTGAGAATGCTTCTCTTTAGTTTTTACGTGAACATATACCCGTTTCGAACGAAGGCCACCCAGTGGTCCAAATATCCACTTGCAGATTCTACAGAAAGAGTGTTTCGAACCTGAACTCTCAAAGGCAGGTTCATCTCTGCAAGTTAAATGCATTCATCATGAAGAACTTTCTCAGAGTGTTTGTGTTTAGTTATGGGAAATTATTCCCGTTTCCAACGAAATCCTCAGAGAGCTCCAAATATCCACCTGCAGATTCTACCAAAAGTGTATTTGGAAACTGCTCCATCAAAAGGCATGTTCAGCTCTGTGAGTGAAACTCCATCATCACAAAGAATATTCTGAGAATGCTTCCGTTTGCCTTTTATATGAAGTTCCTTCCTATACGACCGTAGGCCTCAAAGCAGTCCAAATCTCCATTTGCAGATTCTACAAAAAGAGTGATTCCAATCTGCTCTATCAATAGGATTGTTCAACTCCATGAGTTGAATGCCATCCTCACAAAGTAGTTTCTGAGAATGCTTCTATTTAGTTTTTATGTGAAGATATTTCCTTTTCCACCACAGGCCTCAAAGCCGTCCAAACGTCCACTTGCAGATTCTCGAAAAAGAGTGTTTCATAGCTGCTCTTTCAAAAGGAAAGTTCAACTCTGGGAGTTGAATACAAACATCACAAAGTAGTTTCCGAGAATGCTTCTGTTTAGTTCTTATGTGAAGATCATCCCGTTTCCAGTGAAATCTTCAAAGAGGTCCACATATCCCCTTGCAGATTCCAAAGAAAGAGGGTTTCAAAACTGCTCCATCAGAAGGATTGTTCAACTCTGTGAGTTGAATGCAGTCATCGCAGAAAACTTTCTGAGAATGCTTCTGTCTAGGTTTGATGTGAAGATATAGACGTTTCAAACGAAGGCTACAAAGTGGTCAAAATATATACTTGCAGATTCTACTACAAGGGTGTTGCAAACCTGAACTATCAAAGGAAGGTTCAACTCTGTGAGTTGAATACAAACATCACAAAGAATGTTCTGAGTTTGCTTCCGTTCATTTATGGGAAGTTGATCCCATTTCCAACGAAATCCTCAGAGAGGGCCAAATATCCCCTTGCAGATTCTACAAAACGTGTGTTTGGAAACTGCTCCATCATAACGAATGTTCAGCTCTCTGAGTTAAACTCCATCGTCACAAAGAATGTTCTGAGAGTGCTACCGTCTAGTTTTTATATGAAGTTCTTTCCTTTACTACCACAGGCCTCAAAGCGGTCCAAATCTCCACTTGCAGATTCTACAAAAAGAGTGTTTGCAAACTGCTCTATCAAAAGGAATGTTCAACTCTGGGAGTTGAATGCAATCATCACAGAGCAGTTTCTGAGAATGCTTCTATGTCGTTTTTAGGAGAAGATATTTCCTTTTCCAACACAGTCCTCCAAGCCCGCTAAATATCCACTTGCACATTGTAGAAAAAGTGTGTCGAAGCTGCGCTATCAAAGGGAAAGTTCAACTCTGTGAGGTGAATGCAAACATCCCAAAGAAGTTTCTGAGAATGCTTCCGTTTAGCTTTTAGGTGAAGATTATCCCGTTTCCAACGAAATCTTCAAAGAGGTCCAAATATCCCCTTGCGGATCCCACAGAAAGAGTGTTTCGAAACTGCTGTTTCAAAAGGAATCTTCAACTCTGTGAGTTGAATGCAATCATCACAAAGAAGTTTCTGACAATGCTTCTCTCTCGTCTTTCTATGAAGATAAAGGAAAATGCTTTCAGGCCTTTTCCACCACAGGCCTGAAAGCGCTCCAAATGTCCACTTGCAGATTCTGCCAAAAGAATATTTCAAAACTGCTCTATGAAAAGCAATGTTAAACTCTGCGGCTCGAACACAAACATCACAAAGCAGTTTCAGAGAATGCTTCAGTTTAGTTTTTCTGTGGAAATATTCCTGTTTCCAAAGAAATCTTCAAAGAGGTCCACGCATCCACTTACAGATTCTACAAAAAGACAGTTTCAAAACTGCTCAATCAAAAGGAGGGTTCAACTGTGTGACTTGAATGCAATCATCACTCAGAAGTTTCTGAGAACGCTTCTCTTTAGTTTTTACGTGAACATATACCCGTTTCGAACGAAGGCCAGCCAGTGGTCCAAATATCCACTTGCAGATTCTACAGAAAGAGTGTTTCGAACCTGAACTCTCAAAGGCAGGTTCATCTCTGCGAGTTCAATGCATTCATCATGAAGAACTTTCTCAGCGTGTTTGTGTTTAGTTATGGGAAATTATTCCCGTTTCCAACGAAATCCTCAGAGAGCTCCAAATATCCACCTGCAGATTCTACCAAAAGTGTATTTGGAAACTGCTCCATCAAAAGGCATGTTCAGCTCTGTGAGTGAAACTCCATCATCACAAAGAATATTCTGAGAATGCTTCCGTTTGCCTTTTATATGAAGTTCCTTCCTATACTACCGTAGGCCTCAAAGCAGTCCAAATCTCCATTTGCAGATTCTACAAAAAGAGTGATTCCAATCTGCTCTATCAATAGGATTGTTCAACTCCATGAGTTGAATGCCATCCTCACAAAGTAGTTTCTGAGAATGCTTCTATCTAGTCTTTATGTGAAGATATTTCCTTTTCCACCACAGGCCTCAAAGCCCTCCAAACGTCCACTTGCAGATTTTCGAAAAAGAGTGTTTCATAGCTGCTCTTTCAAAAGGAAAGTTCAACTCTGGGAGTTGAATACAAACATCACAAAGTAGTTTCCGAGAATGCTTCTGTTTAGTTTTTATGTGAAGATGATCCCGTTTCCAGTGAAATCTTCAAAGAGGTCCACATATCCCCTTGCAGATTCCAAAGAAAGAGGGTTTCAAAACTGCTCCATCAGAAGGATTGTTCAACTCTGTGAGTTGAATGCAGTCATCGCAGAAAACTTTCTGAGAATGCTTCTGTCTAGGTTTGATGTGAAGGTATAGACATTTCAAATGAAGGCTACAAAGTGGTCAAAATATACACTTGCAGATTCTACTACAAGGGTGTTGCAAACCTGAACTATCAAAGGAAGGTTCAACTCTGTGAGTTGAATACAAACATCACAAAGAATGTTCTGAGTTTGCTTCCGTTCAGTTATGGGAAGTTGATCCCGTTTCCAACGAAATCCTCAGAGAGGTCAAAATATCCCCTTGCAGATTCTACAAAACGTGTGTTTGGAAACTGCTCCATCATAACGAATGTTCAGCTCCCTGAGTTAAACTCCATCGTCACAAAGAATTTTCTGAGAGTGCTACCGTCTGGTTTTTATATGAAGTTCTTTCCTTCACTACCACAGGCCTCAAAGCGGTCCAAATCTCCACTTGCAGATTCTACAAAAAGAGTGTTTGCAAACTGCTCTATCAAAAGGAATGTTCAACTCTGGGAGTTGAATGCAATCATCACAGAGCAGTTTCTGAGAATGCTTCTATGTCGTTTTTAGGAGAAGATATTTCCTTTTCCAACACAGTCCTCCAAGCCCGCTAAATAGCCACTTGCACATTGTAGAAAAAGTGTGTCAAAGCTGCGCTATCAAAGGGAAAGTTCAACTCTGTGAGGTGAATGCAAACATCCCAAAGAAGTTTCTGAGAATGCTTCCGTTTAGCTTTTAGGTGAAGATTATCCCGTTTCCAACGAAACCTTCAAAGAGGTCCAAATATCCCCTTGCGGATCCCACAGAAAGAGTGTTTCGAAACTGCTGTTTCAAAAGGAATCTTCAACTCTGTGAGTTGAATGCAATCATCACAAAGAAGTTTCTGACAATGCTTCTCTCTCGTCTTTCTGTGAAGATAAAGGAAAAGGCTTTCAGGCCTTTGCCACCACAGGCCTGAAAGCGCTCCAAATGTCCACTTGCAGATTCTGCCAAAAGAATATTTCAAAACTGCTCTATGAAAAGCAATGTTAAACTCTGCGGCTCGAACACAAACATCACAAAGCGGTTTCTGAGAATGCTTCAGTTTAGTTTTTCTGTGGAAATATTCCCGTTTCCAAAGAAATCTTCAAAGAGGTCCACGTATCCACTTACAGATTCTACAAAAAGACAGTTTCAAAACTGCTCCATCAAAAGGAGGGTTCAACTGTGTGACTTGAATGCAATCATCACTCAGAAGTTTCTGAGAATGCTTCTCTTTAGTTTTTACGTGAACATATACCCGTTTCGAACGAAGGCCACCCAGTGGTCCAAATATCCACTTGCAGATTATACAGAAAGAGTGTTTCGAACCTGAACTCTCAAAGGCAGGTTCATCTCTGCGAGTTAAATGCATTCATCATGAAGAACTTTCTCAGAGTGTTTGTGTTTAGTTATGGGAAATTATTCCCGTTTCCAACGAAATCCTCAGAGTGGTCCAAATATCCACCTGCAGATTCTACCAAAAGTGTATTTGGAAACTGCTCCATCAAAAGGCATGTTCAGCTCTGTGAGTGAAACTCCATCATCACAAAGAATATTCTGAGAATGCTTCCGTTTGCCTTTTATCTGAAGTTCCTTCCTATACGACCGTAGGCCTCAAAGCAGTCCAAATCTCCATTTGCAGATTCTACAAAAAGAGTGATTCCAATCTGCTCTATCAATAGGATTGTTCAACTCCATGAGTTGAATGCCATCCTCACAAAGTAGTTTCTGAGAATGCTTCTATCTAGTTTTTATGTGAAGGTATTTCCTTTTCCACCACAGGCCTCCAAGCCCTCCAAACGTCCACTTGCAGATTCTCGAAAAAGAGTGTTTCATAGCTGCTCTTTCAAAAGGAAAGTTCAACTCTGGGAGTTGAATACAAACATCACAAAGTAGTTTCCGAGAATGCTTCTGTTTAGTTTTTATGTGAAGATGATCCCGTTTCCAGTGAAATCTTCAAAGAGGTCCACATATCCCCTTGCAGATTCCAAAGAAAGAGGGTTTCAAAACTGCTCCATCAGAAGGATTGTTCAACTCTGTGAGTTGAATGCAGTCATCGCAGAAAACTTTCTGAGAATGCTTCTGTCTAGGTTTGATGTGAAGATATAGACGTTTCAAACGAAGGCTACAAAGTGGTCAAAATATACACTTGCAGATTCTACTACAAGGGTGTTGCAAACCTGAACTATCAAAGGAAGGTTCAACTCTGTGAATTGAATACAAACATCACAAAGAATGTTCTGAGTTTGCTTCCGTTCAGTTATGGGAAGTTGATCCCGTTTCCAACGAAATCCTCAGAGAGGTCCAAATATCCCCTCGCAGATTCTACAAAACGTGTGTTTGGAAACTGCTCCATCATAACGAATGTTCAGCTCCCTGAGTTAAACTCCATCGTCACAAAGAATTTTCTGAGAGTGCTACCGTCTGGTTTTTATATGAAGTTCTTTCCTTCACTACCACAGGCCTCAAAGCGGTCCAAATCTCCACTTGCAGATTCTACAAAAAGAGTGTTTGCAAACTGCTCTATCAAAAGGAATGTTCAACTCTGGGAGTTGAATGCAATCATCACAGAGCAGTTTCTGAGAATGCTTCTATGTCGTTTTTAGGAGAAGATATTTCCTTTTCCAACACAGTCCTCCAAGCCCGCTAAATAGCCACTTGCACATTGTAGAAAAAGTGTGTCAAAGCTGCGCTATCAAAGGGAAAGTTCAACTCTGTGAGGTGAATGCAAACATCCCAAAGAAGTTTCTGAGAATGCTTCCGTTTAGCTTTTAGGTGAAGATTATCCCGTTTCCAACGAAACCTTCAAAGAGGTCCAAATATCCCCTTGCGGATCCCACAGAAAGAGTGTTTCGAAACTGCTGTTTCAAAAGGAATCTTCAACTCTGTGAGTTGAATGCAATCATCACAAAGAAGTTTCTGACAATGCTTCTCTCTCTCGTCTTTCTGTGAACATAAAGGAAAAGGCTTTCAGGCCTTTTCCACCACAGGCCTGAAAGCGCTCCAAATGTCCACTTGCAGATTCTGCCAAAAGAATATTTCAAAACTGCTCTATGAAAAGCAATGTTAAACTCTGTGGCTCGAACACAAACATCACAAAGCAGTTTCTGAGAATGCTTCAGTTTAGTTTTTCTGTGGAAATATTCCCGTTTCCAAAGAAATCTTCAAAGAGGTCCACGTATCCACTTACAGATTCTACAAAAAGACAGTTTCAAAACTGCTCCATCAAAAGGAGGGTTCAACTGTGTGACTTGAATGCAATCATCACTCAGAAGTTTCTGAGAATGCTTCTCTTTAGTTTTTACGTGAACATATACCCGTTTCGAACGAAGGCCAGCCAGTGGTCCAAATATCCACTTGCAGATTCTACAGAAAGAGTGTTTCGAACCTGAACTCTCAAAGGCAGGTTCATCTCTGCGAGTTAAATGCATTCATCATGAAGAACTTTCTCAGAGTGTTTGTGTTTAGTTATGGGAAATTATTCCCGTTTCCAACGAAATCCTCAGAGAGCTCCAAATATCCACCTGCAGATTCTACCAAAAGTGTATTTGGAAACTGCTCCATCAAAAGGCATGTTCAGCTCTGTGAGTGAAACTCCATCATCACAAAGAATATTCTGAGAATGCTTCCGTTTGCCTTTTATATGAAGTTCCTTCCTATACGACCGTAGGCCTCAAAGCAGTCCAAATCTCCATTTGCAGATTCTACAAAAAGAGTGATTCCAATCTGCTCTATCAATAGGATTGTTCAACTCCATGAGTTGAATGCCATCCTCACAAAGTAGTTTCTGAGAATGCTTCTATCTGGTTTTTGTGTGAAGATATTTCCTTTTCCACCACAGGCCTCAAAGCCCTCCAAACGTCCACTTGCAGATTCTCGAAAAAGAGTGTTTCATAGCTGCTCTTTCAAAAGGAAAGTTCAACTCTGGGAGTTGAATACAAACATCACAAAATAGTTTCCGAGAATGCTTCTGTTTAGTTTTTATGTGAAGATGACCCCGTTTCCAGTGAAATCATCAAAGAGGTCCACATATCCCCTTGCAGATTCCAAAGAAAGAGGGTTTCAAAACTGCTCCATCAGAAGGATTGTTCAACTCTGTGAGTTGAATGCAGTCATCGCAGAAAACTTTCTGAGAATGCTTCTGTCTAGGTTTGATGTGAAGATATAGACGTTTCAAACGAAGGCTACAAAGTGGTCAAAATATACACTTGCAGATTCTACTACAAGGGTGTTGCAAACCTGAACTATCAAAGGAAGGTTCAACTCTGTGAGTTGAATACAAACATCACAAAGAATGTTCTGAGTTTGCTTCCGTTCAGTTATGGGAAGTTGATCCCGTTTCCAACGAAATCCTCAGAGAGGTCCAAATATCCCCTCGCAGATTCTACAAAACGTGTGTTTGGAAACTGCTCCATCATAACGAATGTTCAGCTCCCTGAGTTAAACTCCATCGTCACAAAGAATTTTCTGAGAGTGCTACCGTCTGGTTTTTATATGAAGTTCTTTCCTTCACTACCACAGGCCTCAAAGCGGTCCAAATCTCCACTTGCAGATTCTACAAAAAGAGTGTTTGCAAACTGCTCTATCAAAAGGAATGTTCAACTCTGGGAGTTGAATGCAATCATCACAGAGCAGTTTCTGAGAATGCTTCTATGTCGTTTTTAGGAGAAGATATTTCCTTTTCCAACACAGTCCTCCAAGCCCGCTAAATAGCCACTTGCACATTGTAGAAAAAGTGTGTCAAAGCTGCGCTATCAAAGGGAAAGTTCAACTCTGTGAGGTGAATGCAAACATCCCAAAGAAGTTTCTGAGAATGCTTCCGTTTAGCTTTTAGGTGAAGATTATCCCGTTTCCAACGAAACCTTCAAAGAGGTCCAAATATCCCCTTGCGGATCCCACAGAAAGAGTGTTTCGAAACTGCTGTTTCAAAAGGAATCTTCAACTCTGTGAGTTGAATGCAATCATCACAAAGAAGTTTCTGACAATGCTTCTCTCTCGTCTTTCTGTGAAGATAAAGGAAAAGGCTTTCAGGCCTTTTCCACCACAGGCCTGAAAGCGCTCCAAATGTCCACTTGCAGATTCTGCCAAAAGAATATTTCAAAACTGCTCTATGAAAAGCAATGTTAAACTCTGTGGCTCGAACACAAACATCACAAAGCGGTTTCTGAGAATGCTTCAGTTTAGTTTTTCTGTGGAAATATTCCCGTTTCCAAAGAAATCTTCAAAGAGGTCCACGTATCCACTTACAGATTCTACAAAAAGACAGTTTCAAAACTGCTCCATCAAAAGGAGGGTTCAACTGTGTGACTTGAATGCAATCATCACTCAGAAGTTTCTGAGAATGCTTCTCTTTAGTTTTTACGTGAACATATACCCGTTTCGAACGAAGGCCAGCCAGTGGTCCAAATATCCACTTGCAGATTCTACAGAAAGAGTGTTTCGAACCTGAACTCTCAAAGGCAGGTTCATCTCTGCGAGTTAAATGCATTCATCATGAAGAACTTTCTCAGAGTGTTTGTGTTTAGTTATGGGAAATTATTCCCGTTTCCAACGAAATCCTCAGAGAGCTCCAAATATCCACCTGCAGATTCTACCAAAAGTGTATTTGGAAACTGCTCCATCAAAAGGCATGTTCAGCTCTGTCAGTGAAACTCCATCATCACAAAGAATATTCTGAGAATGCTTCCGTTTGCCTTTTATATGAAGTTCCTTCCTATACGACCGTAGGCCTCAAAGCAGTCCAAATCTCCATTTGCAGATTCTACAAAAAGAGTGATTCCAATCTGCTCTATCAATAGGATTGTTCAACTCCATGAGTTGAATGCCATCCTCACAAAGTAGTTTCTGAGAATGCTCCTATGTAGTTTTTATGTGAAGATATTTCCTTTTCCACCACAGGCCTCAAAGCCCTCCAAACGTCCACTTGCAGATTCTCGAAAAAGAGTGTTTCATAGCTGCTCTTTCAAAAGGAAAGTTCAACTCTGGGAGTTGAATACAAACATCACAAAGTAGTTTCCGAGAATGCTTCTGTTTAGTTCTTATGTGAAGATGATCCCGTTTCCAGAGAAATCTTCAAAGAGGTCCACATATCACCTTGCAGATTCCAAAAAAAGAGGGTTTCAAAACTGCTCCATCAAAAGGATTGTTCAACTCTGTGAGTTGAATGCAGTCATCGCAGAAAACTTTCTGAGAATGCTTCTGTCTAGGTTTGATGTGAAGATATAGACGTTTCAAACGAAGGCTACAAAGTGGTCAAAATATACACTTGCAGATTCTCCTACAAGGGTGCTGCAAACCTCAACTATCAAAGGAAGGTTCAACTCTGTGAGATGAATGCAAACATCACAAAGAATGTTCTGAGTTTGCTTCCGTTCAGTTATGGGAAGTTGATCCCGTTTCCAACGAAATCCTCAGAGAGGTCCAAATATCCCCTTGCAGATTCTACAAAACGTGTGTTTGGAAACTGCTCCATCATAACGAATGTTCAGCTCTCTGAGTTAAACTCCATCGTCACAAAGAATTTTCTGAGAGTGCTACCGTCTGGTTTTTATATGAAGTTCTTTCCTTTACTACCACAGGCCTCAAAGCGGTCCAAATCTCCACTTGCATATTCTACAAAAAGAGTGTTTGCAAACTGCTCTATCAAAAGGAATGTTCAACTCTGGGAGTTGAATGCAATCATCACAGAGCAGTTTCTGAGAATGCTTCTATGTCGTTTTTAGGAGAAGATATTTCCTTTTCCAACACAGTCCTCCAAGCCCGCTAAATATCCACTTGCACATTGTAGACAAAGTGTGTCGAAGCTGCGCTATCAAAGGGAAAGTTCAACTCTGTGAGGTGAATGCAAACATCCCAAAGAAGTTTCTGAGAATGCTTCCTTTCAGCTTTTAGGTGAAGATTATCCCGTTTCCAACGAAATCTTCAAAGAGGTCCAAATATCCCCTTGCAGATCCCACAGAAAGAGTGTTTCGAAACTGCTGTTTCAAAAGGAATCTTCAACTCTGTGAGTTGAATGCAATCATCACAAAGAAGTTTCTGACAATGCTTCTCCCTCGTCTTTCTGTGAAGATAAAGGAAAAGGCTTTCAGGCCTTTTCCACCACAGGCCTGAAAGTGCTCCAAATGTCCACTTGCAGATTCTGCCAAAAGAATATTTCAAAACTGCTCTATGAAAAGCAATGTTAAACTCTGCGGCTCGAACACAAACATCACAAAGCAGTTTCTGAGAATGCTTCAGTTTAGTTTTTCTGTGGAAATATTCCCGTTTCCAAAGAAATCTTCAAAGAGGTCCACGTATCCACTTACAGAATCTACAAAAAGACAGTTTCAAAACTGCTCAATCAAAAGGAGGGTTCAACTGTGTGACTTGAATGCAATCATCACTCAGAAGTTTCTGAGAATGCTTCTCTTTAGTTTTTACGTGAACATATACCCGTTTCGAACGAAGGCCACCCAGTGGTCCAAATATCCACTTGCAGATTCTACAGAAAGAGTGTTTCGAACCTGAACTCTCAAAGGCAGGTTCATCTCTGCGAGTTAAATGCATTCATCATGAAGAACTTTCTCAGAGTGTTTGTGTTTAGTTATGGGAAATTATTCCCGTTTCCAACGAAATCCTCAGAGAGGTCCAAATGTCCACCTGCAGATTCTACCAAAAGTGTATTTGGAAACTGCTCCATCAAAAGGCATGTTCAGCTCTGTGAGTGAAACTCCATCATCACAAAGAATATTCTGAGAATGCTTCCGTTTGCCTTTTATATGAAGTTCCTTCCTATACGACCGTAGGCCTCAAAGCAGTCCAAATCTCCATTTGCAGATTCTACAAAAAGAGTGATTCCAATCTGCTCTATCAATAGGATTGTTCAACTCCATGAGTTGAATGCCATCCTCACAAAGTCGTTTCTGAGAATGCTTCTATCTAGTTTTTATGTGAAGATATTTCCTTTTCCACCACAGGCCTCAAAGCCCTCCAAACGTCCACTTGCAGATTCTCGAAAAAGAGTGTTTCATAGCTGCTCTTTCAAAAGGGAAGTTCAACTCTGGGAGTTGAATACAAACATCACAAAGTAGTTTCCGAGAATGCTTCCTGTTTAGTTTTTATGTGAAGATGATCCCGTTTCCAGTGAAATCTTCAAAGAGGTCCACATATCCCCTTGCAGATTCCAAAGAAAGAGGGTTTCAAAACTGCTCCATCAGAAGGATTGTTCAACTCTGTGAGTTGAATGCAGTCATCGCAGAAAACTTTCTGAGAATGCTTCTGTCTAGGTTTGATGTGAAGATATAGACGTTTCAAACGAAGGCTACAAAGTGGTCAAAATATACACTTGCAGATTCTACTACAAGGGTGTTGCAAACCTGAACTATCAAAGGAAGGTTCAACTCTGTGAGTTGAATACAAACATCACAAAGAATGTTCTGAGTTTGCTTCCGTTCAGTTATGGGAAGTTGATCCCGTTTCCAACGAAATCCTCAGAGAGGTCCAAATATCCCCTTGCAGATTCTACAAAACGTGTGTTTGGAAACTGCTCCATCATAACGAATGTTCAGCTCCCTGAGTTAAACTCCATCGTCACAAAGAATTTTCTGAGAGTGCTACCGTCTGGTTTTTATATGAAGCTCTTTCCTTCACTACCACAGGCCTCAAAGCGGTCCAAATCTCCACTTGCAGATTCTACAAAAAGAGTGTTTGCAAACTGCTCTATCAAAAGGAATGTTCAACTCTGGGAGTTGAATGCAATCATCACAGAGCAGTTTCTGAGAATGCTTCTATGTCGTTTTTAGGAGAAGATATTTCCTTTTCCAACACAGTCCTCCAAGCCCGCTAAATAGCCACTTGCACATTGTAGAAAAAGTGTGTCAAAGCTGCGCTATCAAAGGGAAAGTTCAACTCTGTGAGGTGAATGCAAACATCCCAAAGAAGTTTCTGAGAATGCTTCCGTTTAGCTTTTAGGTGAAGATTATCCCGTTTCCAACGAAACCTTCAAAGAGGTCCAAATATCCCCTTGCGGATCCCACAGAAAGAGTGTTTCGAAACTGCTGTTTCAAAAGGAATCTTCAACTCTGTGAGTTGAATGCAATCATCACAAAGAAGTTTCTGACAATGCTTCTCTCTCGTCTTTCTGTGAAGATAAAGGAAAAGGCTTTCAGGCCTTTTCCACCACAGGCCTGAAAGCGCTCCAAATGTCCACTTGCAGATTCTGCCAAAAGAATATTTCAAAACTGCTCTATGAAAAGCAATGTTAAACTCTGCGGCTCAAACACAAACATCACAAAGCGGTTTCTGAGAATGCTTCAGTTTAGTTTTTCTGTGGAAATATTCCCGTTTCCAAAGAAATCTTCAAAGAGGTCCACGTATCCACTTACAGATTCTACAAAAAGACAGTTTCAAAACTGCTCCATCAAAACGAGGGTTCAACTGTGTGACTTGAATGCAATCATCACTCAGAAGTTTCTGAGAATGCTTCTCTTTAGTTTTTACGTGAACATATACCCGTTTCGAACGAAGGCCACCCAGTGGTCCAAATATCCACTTGCAGATTCTACAGAAAGAGTGTTTCGAACCTGAACTCTCAAAGGCAGGTTCATCTCTGCGAGTTAAATGCATTCATCATGAAGAACTTTCTCAGAGTGTTTGTGTTTAGTTATGGGAAATTATTCCCGTTTCCAAAGAAATCCTCAAAGAGCTCCAAATATCCACCTGCAGATTCTACCAAAAGTGTATTTGGAAACTGCTCCATCAAAAGGCATGTTCAGCTCTGTGAGTGAAACTCCATCATCACAAAGAATATTCTGAGAATGCTTCCGTTTGCCTTTTATATGAAGTTCCTTCCTATACGACCGTAGGCCTCAAAGCAGTCCAAATCTCCATTTGCAGATTCTACAAAAAGAGTGATTCCAATCTGCTCTATCAATAGGATTGTTCAACTCCATGAGTTGAATGCCATCCTCACAAAGTAGTTTCTGAGAATGCTTCTATCTAGTTTTTATGTGAAGATATTTCCTTTTCCACCACAGGCCTCAAAGCCCTCCAAACGTCCACTTGCAGATTCTCGAAAAAGAGTGTTTCATAGCTGCTCTTTCAAAAGGAAAGTTCAACTCTGGCAGTTGAATACAAACATCACAAAGTAGTTTCCGAGAATGCTTCTGTTTAGTTTTTATGTGAAGATGATCCCGTTTCCAGTGAAATCTTCAAAGAGGTCCACATATCCCCTTGCAGATTCCAAAGAAAGAGGGTTTCAAAACTGCTCCATCAGAAGGATTGTTCAACTGTGTGAGTTGAATGCAGTCATCGCAGAAAACTTTCTGAGAATGCTTCTGTCTAGGTTTGATGTGAAGATATAGACGTTTCAAACGAAGGCTACAAAGTGGTCAAAATATACACTTGCAGATTCTACTACAAGGGTGTTGCAAACCTGAACTATCAAAGGAAGGTTCAACTCTGTGAATTGAATACAAACATCACAAAGAATGTTCTGAGTTTGCTTCCGTTCAGTTATGGGAAGTTGATCCCGTTTCCAACGAAATCCTCAGAGAGGTCCAAATATCCCCTTGCAGATTCTACAAAACGTGTGTTTGGAAACTGCTCCATCATAACGAATGTTCAGCTCCCTGAGTTAAACTCCATCGTCACAAAGAATTTTCTGAGAGTGCTACCGTCTGGTTTTTATATGAAGTTCTTTCCTTCACTACCACAGGCCTCAAAGCGGTCCAAATCTCCACTTGCAGATTCTACAAAAAGAGTGTTTGCAAACTGCTCTATCAAAAGGAATGTTCAACTCTGGGAGTTGAATGCAATCATCACAGAGCAGTTTCTGAGAATGCTTCTATGTCGTTTTTAGGAGAAGATATTTCCTTTTCCAACACAGTCCTCCAAGCCCGCTAAATAGCCACTTGCACATTGTAGAAAAAGTGTGTCAAAGCTGCGCTATCAAAGGGAAAGTTCAACTCTGTGAGGTGAATGCAAACATCCCAAAGAAGTTTCTGAGAATGCTTCCGTTTAGCTTTTAGGTGAAGATTATCCCGTTTCCAACGAAACCTTCAAAGAGGTCCAAATATCCCCTTGCGGATCCCACAGAAAGAGTGTTTCGAAACTGCTGTTTCAAAAGGAATCTTCAACTCTGTGAGTTGAATGCAATCATCACAAAGAAGTTTCTGACAATGCTTCTCTCTCGTCTTTCTGTGAAGATAAATAAATGCTTTCAGGCCTTTGCCACCACAGGCCTGAAAGCGCTCCAAATGTCCACTTGCAGATTCTGCGAAAAGAATATTTCAAAACTGCTTTGTGAAAAGCAATGTTAAACTCTGTGGCTCGAACACAAACATCACAAAGCGGTTTCTGAGAATGCTTCAGTTTAGTTTTTCTGTGGAAATATTCCCGTTTCCAAAGAAATCTTCAAAGAGGTCCACGTATCCACTTACAGATTCTACAAAAAGACAGTTTCAAAACTGCTCCATCAAAAGGAGGGTTCAACTGTGTGACTTGAATGCAATCATCACTCAGAAGTTTCTGAGAATGCTTCTCTTTAGTTTTTACGTGAACATATACCCGTTTCGAACGAAGGCCAGCCAGTGGTCCAAATATCCACTTGCAGATTCTACAGAAGGAGTGTTTCGAACCTGAACTCTCAAAGGCAGGTTCATCTCTGCGAGTTAAATGCATTCATCATGAAGAACTTTCTCAGCGTGTTTGTGTTTAGTTATGGGAAATTATTCCCGTTTCCAACGAAATCCTCAGAGAGCTCCAAATATCCACCTGCAGATTCTACCAAAAGTGTATTTGGAAACTGCTCCATCAAAAGGCATGTTCAGCTCTGTGAGTGAAACTCCATCATCATAAAGAATATTCTTAGAATGCTTCCGTTTGCCTTTTATCTGAAGTTCCTTCCTATACGACCGTAGGCCTCAAAGCAGTCCAAATCTCCATTTGCAGATTCCACAAAAAGAGTGATTCCAATCTGCTCTATCAATAGGATTGTTCAACTCCATGAGGTTGAATGCCATCCTCACAAAGTCGTTTCTGAGAATGCTTCTATCTAGTTTTTATGTGAAGATATTTCCTTTTCCACCACAGGCCTCAAAGCCTTCCAAACGTCCACTTGCAGATTCCCGAAAAAGAGTGTTTCATAGCTGCTCTTTCAAAAGGAAAGTTCAACTCTGGGAGTTGAATACAAACATCACAAAGTAGTTTCCGAGAATGCTTCTGTTTAGTTTTTATGTGAAGATGATCCCGTTTCCAGTGAAATCTTCAAAGAGGTCCACATATCCCCTTGCAGATTCCAAAGAAAGAGGGTTTCAAAACTGCTCCATCAGAAGGATTGTTCAACTCTGTGAGTTGAATGCAGTCATCGCAGAAAACTTTCTGAGAATGCTTCTGTCTAGGTTTGATGTGAAGATATAGACGTTTCAAACGAAGGCTACAAAGTGGTCAAAATATACACTTGCAGATTCTACTACAAGGGTGTTGCAAACCTGAACTATCAAAGGAAGGTTCAACTCTGTGAGTTGAATACAAACATCACAAAGAATGTTCTGAGTTTGCTTCCGTTCAGTTATGGGAAGTTGATCCCGTTTCCAACGAAATCCTCAGAGAGGTCCAAATATCCCCTCGCAGATTCTACAAAACGTGTGTTTGGAAACTGCTCCATCATAACGAATGTTCAGCTCCCTGAGTTAAACTCCATCGTCACAAAGAATTTTCTGAGAGTGCTACCGTCTGGTTTTTATATGAAGTTCTTTCCTTCACTACCACAGGCCTCAAAGCGGTCCAAATCTCCACTTGCAGATTCTACAAAAAGAGTGTTTGCAAACTGCTCTATCAAAAGGAATGTTCAACTCTGGGAGTTGAATGCAATCATCACAGAGCAGTTTCTGAGAATGCTTCTATGTCGTTTTTAGGAGAAGATATTTCCTTTTCCAACACAGTCCTCCAAGCCCGCTAAATAGCCACTTGCACATTGTAGAAAAAGTGTGTCAAAGCTGCGCTATCAAAGGGAAAGTTCAACTCTGTGAGGTGAATGCAAACATCCCAAAGAAGTTTCTGAGAATGCTTCCGTTTAGCTTTTAGGTGAAGATTATCCCGTTTCCAACGAAACCTTCAAAGAGGTCCAAATATCCCCTTGCGGATCCCACAGAAAGAGTGTTTCGAAACTGCTGTTTCAAAAGGAATCTTCAACTCTGTGAGTTGAATGCAATCATCACAAAGAAGTTTCTGACAATGCTTCTCTCTCGTCTTTCTGTGAAGATAAAGGAAAAGGCTTTCAGGCCTTTTCCACCACAGGCCTGAAAGCGCTCCAAATGTCCACTTGCAGATTCTGCGAAAAGAATATTTCAAAACTGCTCTATGAAAAGCAATGTTAAACTCTGTGGCTCGAACACAAACATCACAAAGCGGTTTCTGAGAATGCTTCAGTTTAGTTTTTCTGTGGAAATATTCCCGTTTCCAAAGAAATCTTCAAAGAGGTCCACGTATCCACTTACAGATTCTACAAAAAGACAGTTTCAAAACTGCTCCATCAAAAGGAGGGTTCAACTGTGTGACTTGAATGCAATCATCACTCAGAAGTTTCTGAGAATGCTTCTCTTTAGTTTTTACGTGAACATATACCCGTTTCGAACGAAGGCCAGCCAGTGGTCCAAATATCCACTTGCAGATTCTACAGAAATAGTGTTTCGAACATGAACTCTCAAAGGCAGGTTCATCTCTGCGAGTTGAATGCATTCATCATGAAGAACTTTCTCAGAGTGTTTGTGTTTAGTTATGGGAAATTATTCCCGTTTCCAACGAAATCCTCAGAGAGCTCCAAATATCCACCTGCAGATTCTACCAAAAGTGTATTTGGAAACTGCTCCATCAAAAGGCATGTTCAGCTCTGTGAGTGAAACTCCATCATCACAAAGAATATTCTGAGAATGCTTCCGTTTGCCTTTTATATGAAGTTCCTTCCTGTACTACCGTAGGCCTCAAAGCAGTCCAAATCTCCATTTGCAGATTCTACAAAAAGAGTGATTCCAATCTGCTCTATCAATAGGATTGTTCAACTCCATTAGTTGAATGCCATCCTCACAAAGTAGTTTCTGAGAATGCTTCTATCTGGTTTTTGTGTGAAGATATTTCCTTTTCCACCACAGGCCTCAAAGCCCTCCAAACGTCCACTTGCAGATTCTCGAAAAAGAGTGTTTCATAGCTGCTCTTTCAAAAGGAAAGTTCAACTCTGGGAGTTGAATACAAACATCACAAAGTAGTTTCCGAGAATGCTTCAGTTTAGTTTTTATGTGAAGATGATCCCGTTTCCAGTGAAATCTTCAAAGAGGTCCACATATCCCCTTGAAGATTCCAAAGAAAGAGGGTTTCAAAACTGCTCCATCAGAAGGATTGTTCAACTCTGTGAGTTGAATGCAGTCATCGCAGAAAACTTTCTGAGAATGCTTCTGTCTAGGTTTGATGTGAAGATATAGACGTTTCAAATGAAGGCTACAAAGTGGTCAAAATATACACTTGCAGATTCTACTACAAGGGTGTTGCAAACCTGAACTATCAAAGGAAGGTTCAACTCTGTGAGTTGAATACAAACATCACAAAGAATGTTCTGAGTTTGCTTCCGTTCAGTTATGGGAAGTTGATCCCGTTTCCAACGAAATCCTCAGAGAGGTCCAAATATCCCCTTGCAGATTCTACAAAACGTGTGTTTGGAAACTGCTCCATCATAACGAATGTTCAGCTCCCTGAGTTAAACTCCATCGTCACAAAGAATTTTCTGAGAGTGCTACCGTCTGGTTTTTATATGAAGTTCTTTCCTTCACTACCACAGGCCTCAAAGCGGTCCAAATCTCCACTTGCAGATTCTACAAAAAGAGTGTTTGCAAACTGCTCTATCAAAAGGAATGTTCAACTCTGGGAGTTGAATGCAATCATCACAGAGCAGTTTCTGAGAATGCTTCTATGTCGTTTTTAGGAGAAGATATTTCCTTTTCCAACACAGTCCTCCAAGCCCGCTAAATAGCCACTTGCACATTGTAGAAAAAGTGTGTCAAAGCTGCGCTATCAAAGGGAAAGTTCAACTCTGTGAGGTGAATGCAAACATCCCAAAGAAGTTTCTGAGAATGCTTCCGTTTAGCTTTTAGGTGAAGATTATCCCGTTTCCAACGAAACCTTCAAAGAGGTCCAAATATCCCCTTGCGGATCCCACAGAAAGAGTGTTTCGAAACTGCTGTTTCAAAAGGAATCTTCAACTCTGTGAGTTGAATGCAATCATCAAAAAGAAGTTTCTGACAATGCTTCTCTCTCGTCTTCCTGTGAAGATAAAGGAAAAGGCTTTCAGGCCTTTTCCACCACAGGCCTGAAAGCGCTCCAAATGTCCACTTGCAGATTCTGCCAAAAGAATATTTCAAAACTGCTCTATGAAAAGCAATGTTAAACTCTGTGGCTCGAACACAAACATCACAAAGCAGTTTCTGAGAATGCTTCAGTTTAGTTTTTCTGTGGAAATATTCCCGTTTCCAAAGAAATCTTCAAAGAGGTCCACGCATCCACTTACAGATTCTACAAAAAGACAGTTTCAAAACTGGTCAATCAAAAGGAGGGTTCAACTGTGTGACTTGAATGCAATCATCACTCAGAAGTTTGCTGAGAACGCTTCTCTTTAGTTTTTACGTGAACATATACCCGTTTCGAACGAAGGCCAGCCACTGGTCCAAATATCCACTTGCAGATTCTACAGAAAGAGTGTTTCGAACCTGAACTCTCAAAGGCAGGTTCATCTCTGCGAGTTAAATGCATTCATCATGAAGAACTTTCTCAGCGTATTTGTGTTTAGGTATGGGAAATTATTCCCGTTTCCAACGAAATCCTCAGAGAGGTCCAAATATCCACCTGCAGATTCTACCAAAAGTGTATTTGGAAACTGCTCCATGAAAAGGCATGTGCAGCTCTGTGAGTGAAACTCCATCATCACAAAGAATATTCTGAGAATGCTTCCGTTTGCCTTTTATATGAAGTTCCTTCCTATACTACCGTAGGCCTCAAAGCAGTCCAAATCTCCATTTGCAGATTCTACAAATAGAGTGATTCCAATCTGCTCTATCAATAGGATTGTTCAACTCCATGAGTTGAATGCCATCCTCACAAAGTCGTTTCTGAGAATGCTTCTATCTAGTTTTTATGTGAAGATATTTCCTTTTCCACCACAGGCCTCAAAGCCCTCCAAACGTCCACTTGCAGATTCTCGAAAAAGTGTGTTTCATAGCTGCTCTTTCAAAAGGAAAGTTCAACTCTGGGAGTTGAATACAAACATCACAAAGTAGTTTCCGAGAATGCTTCTGTTTAGTTCTTATGTGAAGATGATCCCGTTTCCAGTGAAATCTTCAAAGAGGTCCACATATCCCCTTGCAGATTCCAAAGAAAGAGGGTTTCAAAACTGCTCCATCAAAAGGATTGTTCAACTCTGTGAGTTGAATGCAGTCATCGCAGAAAACTTTCTGAGAATGCTTCTGTCTAGGTTTGATGTGAAGATATAGCATGTTTCAAACGAAGGCTACAAAGTGGTCAAAATATACACTTGCAGATTCTACTACAAGGGTGTTGCAAACCTGAACTATCAAAGGAAGGTTCAACTCTGTGAGTTGAATACAAACATCACAAAGAATGTTCTGAGTTTGCTTCCGTTCAGTTATGGGAAGTTGATCCCGTTTCCAACGAAATCCTCAGAGAGGTCCAAATATCCCCTTGCAGATTCTACAAAACGTGTGTTTGGAAACTGCTCCATCATAACGAATGTTGAGCTCCCTGAGTTAAACTCCATCGTCACAAAGAATTTTCTGAGAGTGCTACCGTCTGGTTTTTATATGAAGTTCTTTCCTTCACTACCACAGGCCTCAAAGCGGTCCAAATCTCCACTTGCAGATTCTACAAAAAGAGTGTTTGCAAACTGCTCTATCAAAAGGAATGTTCAACTCTGGGAGTTGAATGCAATCATCACAGAGCAGTTTCTGAGAATGCTTCTATGTCGTTTTTAGGAGAAGATATTTCCTTTTCCAACACAGTCCTCCAAGCCCGCTAAATAGCCACTTGCACGTTGTAGAAAAAGTGTGTCAAAGCTGCGCTATCAAAGGGAAAGTTCAACTCTGTGAGGTGAATGCAAACATCCCAAAGAAGTTTCTGAGAATGCTTCCGTTTAGCTTTTAGGTGAAGATTATCCCGTTTCCAACGAAACCTTCAAAGAGGTCCAAATATCCCCTTGCGGATCCCACAGAAAGAGTGTTTCGAAACTGCTGTTTCAAAAGGAATCTTCAACTCTGTGAGTTGAATGCAATCATCACAAAGAAGTTTCTGACAATGCTTCTCTCTCGTCTTTCTGTGAAGATAAAGGAAAAGGCTTTCAGGCCTTTTCCACCACAGGCCTGAAAGCGCTCCAAATGTCCACTTGCAGATTCTGCGAAAAGAATATTTCAAAACTGCTCTATGAAAAGCAATGTTAAACTCTGTGGCTCGAACACAAACATCACAAAGCGGTTTCTGAGAATGCTTCAGTTTAGTTTTTCTGTGGAAATATTCCCGTTTCCAAAGAAATCTTCAAAGAGGTCCACGTATCCACTTACAGATTCTACAAAAAGACAGTTTCAAATCTGCTCCATCAAAAGGAGGGTTCAACCGTGTGACTTGAATGCAATCATCACTCAGAAGTTTCTGAGAATGCTTCTCTTTAGTTTTTACGTGAACATATACCCGTTTCGAACGAAGGCCACCCAGTGGTCCAAATATCCACTTGCAGATTATACAGAAAGAGTGTTTCGAACCTGAACTCTCAAAGGCAGGTTCATCTCTGCGAGTTAAATGCATTCATCATGAAGAACTTTCTCAGAGTGTTTGTGTTTAGTTATGGGAAATTATTCCCGTTTCCAACGAAATCCTCAGAGAGCTCCAAATATCCACCTGCAGATTCTACCAAAAGTGTATTTGGAAACTGCTCCATCAAAAGGCATGTTCAGCTCTGTGAGTGAAACTCCATCATCACAAAGAATATTCTGAGAATGCTTCCGTTTGCCTTTTATATGAAGTTCCTTCCTGTACTACCGTAGGCCTCAAAGCAGTCCAAATCTCCATTTGCAGATTCTATAAAAAGAGTGATTCCAATCTGCTCTATCAATAGGATTGTTCAACTCCATGAGTTGAATGCCATCCTCACAAAGTAGTTTCTGAGAATGCTTCTATCTGGTTTTTGTGTGAAGATATTTCCTTTTCCACCACAGGCCTCAAAGCCCTCCAAACGTCCACTTGCAGATTCTCGAAAAAGAGTGTTTCATAGCTGCTCTTTCAAAAGGAAAGTTCAACTCTGGGAGTTGAATACAAACATCACAAAATAGTTTCCGAGAATGCTTCTGTTTAGTTTTTATGTGAAGATGATCCCGTTTCCAGTGAAATCTTCAAAGAGGTCCACATATCCCCTTGCAGATTCCAAAGAAAGAGGGTTTCAAAACTGCTCCATCAGAAGGATTGTTCAACTCTGTGAGTTGAATGCAGTCATCGCAGAAAACTTTCTGAGAATGCTTCTGTCTAGGTTTGATGTGAAGATATAGACGTTTCAAACGAAGGCTACAAAGTGGTCAAAATATACACTTGCAGATTCTACTACAAGGGTGTTGCAAACCTGAACTATCAAAGGAAGGTTCAACTCTGTGAATTGAATACAAACATCACAAAGAATGTTCTGAGTTTGCTTCCGTTCAGTTATGGGAAGTTGATCCCGTTTCCAACGAAATCCTCAGAGAGGTCCAAATATCCCCTCGCAGATTCTACAAAACGTGTGTTTGGAAACTGCTCCATCATAACGAATGTTCAGCTCCCTGAGTTAAACTCCATCGTCACAAAGAATTTTCTGAGAGTGCTACCGTCTGGTTTTTATATGAAGTTCTTTCCTTCACTACCACAGGCCTCAAAGCGGTCCAAATCTCCACTTGCAGATTCTACAAAAAGAGTGTTTGCAAACTGCTCTATCAAAAGGAATGTTCAACTCTGGGAGTTGAATGCAATCATCACAGAGCAGTTTCTGAGAATGCTTCTATGTCGTTTTTAGGAGAAGATATTTCCTTTTCCAACACAGTCCTCCAAGCCCGCTAAATAGCCACTTGCACATTGTAGAAAAAGTGTGTCGAAGCTGCGCTATCAAAGGGAAAGTTCAACTCTGTGAGGTGAATGCAAACATCCCAAAGAAGTTTCTGAGAATGCTTCCGTTTAGCTTTTAGGTGAAGATTATCCCGTTTCCAACGAAATCTTCAAAGAGGTCCAAATATCCCCTTGCGGATCCCACAGAAAGAGTGTTTCGAAACCGCTGTTTCAGAAGGAATCTTCAACTCTGTGAGTTGAATGCAATCATCACAAAGAAGTTTCTGACAATGCTTCTCTCTCGTCTTTCTGTGAAGATAAAGGAAAAGGCTTTCAGGCCTTTTCCACCACAGGCCTGAAAGCGCTCCAAATGTCCACTTGCAGATTCTGCCAAAAGAATATTTCAAAACTGCTCTATGAAAAGCAATGTTAAACTCTGCAGCTCGAACACAAACATCACAAAGCAGTTTCTGAGAATGCTTCAGTTTAGTTTTTCTGTGGAAATATTCCCGTTTCCAAAGAAATCTTCAAAGAGGTCCACGTATCCACTTACAGATTCTACAAAAAGACAGTTTCAAAACTGCTCCATCAAAAGGAGTGTTCAACCGTGTGACTTGAATGCAATCATCACTCAGAAGTATCTGAGAATGCTTCTCTTTAGTTTTTACGTGAACATATACCCGTTTCGAACGAAGGCCACCCAGTGGTCCAAATATCCACTTGCAGATTATACAGAAAGAGTGTTTCGAACCTGAACTCTCAAAGGCAGGTTCATCTCTGCGAGTTAAATGCATTCATCATGAAGAACTTTCTCAGAGTGTTTGTGTTTAGTTATGGGAAATTATTCCCGTTTCCAACGAAATCCTCAGGGAGCTCCAAATATCCACCTGCAGATTCTACCAAAAGTGTATTTGGAAACTGCTCCATCAAAAGGCATGTTCAGCTCTGTGAGTGAAACTCCATCATCACAAAGAATATTCTGAGAATGCTTCCGTTTGCCTTTTATATGAAGTTCCTTCCTGTACTACTGTAGGCCTCAAAGCAGTCCAAATCTCCATTTGCAGATTCTACAAAAAGAGTGATTCCAATCTGCTCTATCAATAGGATTGTTCAACTCCATGAGTTGAATGCCATCCTCACAAAGTAGTTTCTGAGAATGCTTCTATCTAGTTTTTATGTGAAGATATTTCCTTTTCCACCACAGGCCTCAAAGCCCTCCAAACGTCCACTTGCAGATTCTCGAAAAAGAGTGTTTCATAGCTGCTCTTTCAAAAGGAAAGTTCAACTCTGGCAGTTGAATACAAACATCACAAAGTAGTTTCCGAGAATGCTTCTGTTTAGTTTTTATGTGAAGATGATCCCGTTTCCAGTGAAATCTTCAAAGAGGTCCACATATCCCCTTGCAGATTCCAAAGAAAGAGGGTTTCAAAACTGCTCCATCAGAAGGATTGTTCAACTCTGTGAGTTGAATGCAGTCATCGCAGAAAACTTTCTGAGAATGCTTCTGTCTAGGTTTGATGTGAAGATATAGACGTTTCAAACGAAGGCTACAAAGTGGTCAAAATATACACTTGCAGATTCTACTACAAGGGTGTTGCAAACCTGAACTATCAAAGGAAGGTTCAACTCTGTGAGTTGAATACAAACATCACAAAGAATGTTCTGAGTTTGCTTCCGTTCAGTTATGGGAAGTTGATCCCGTTTCCAACGAAATCCTCAGAGAGGTCCAAATATCCCCTCGCAGATTCTACAAAACGTGTGTTTGGAAACTGCTCCATCATAACGAATGTTCAGCTCCCTGAGTTAAACTCCATCGTCACAAAGAATTTTCTGAGAGTGCTACCGTCTGGTTTTTATATGAAGTTCTTTCCTTCACTACGACAGGCCTCAAAGCGGTCCAAATCTCCACTTGCAGATTCTACAAAAAGAGTGTTTGCAAACTGCTCTATCAAAAGGAATGTTCAACTCTGGGAGTTGAATGCAATCATCACAGAGCAGTTTCTGAGAATGCTTCTATGTCGTTTTTAGGAGAAGATATTTCCTTTTCCAACACAGTCCTCCAAGCCCGCTAAATAGCCACTTGCACATTGTAGAAAAAGTGTGTCAAAGCTGCGCTATCAAAGGGAAAGTTCAACTCTGTGAGGTGAATGCAAACATCCCAAAGAAGTTTCTGAGAATGCTTCCGTTTAGCTTTTAGGTGAAGATTATCCCGTTTCCAACGAAACCTTCAAAGAGGTCCAAATATCCCCTTGCGGATCCCACAGAAAGAGTGTTTCGAAACTGCTGTTTCAAAAGGAATCTTCAACTCTGTGAGTTGAATGCAATCATCAAAAAGAAGTTTCTGACAATGCTTCTCTCTCGTCTTTCTGTGAAGATAAAGGAAAAGGCTTTCAGGCCTTTTCCACCACAGGCCTGAAAGCGCTCCAAATGTCCACTTGCAGATTCTGCGAAAAGAATATTTCAAAACTGCTCTATGAAAAGCAATGTTAAACTCTGTGGCTCGAACACAAACATCACAAAGCGGTTTCTGAGAATGCTTCAGTTTAGTTTTTCTGTGGAAATATTCCCGTTTCCAAAGAAATCTTCAAAGAGGTCCACGTATCCACTTACAGATTCTACAAAAAGACAGTTTCAAAACTGCTCCATCAAAAGGAGGGTTCAACCGTGTGACTTGAATGCAATCATCACTCAGAAGTTTCTGAGAATGCTTCTCTTTAGTTTTTACGTGAACATATACCCGTTTCGAACGAAGGCCACCCAGTGGTCCAAATATCCACTTGCAGATTCTACAGAAAGAGTGTTTCGAACCTGAACTCTCAAAGGCAGGTTCATCTCTGCGAGTTAAAAGCATTCATCATGAAGAACTTTCTCAGAGTGTTTGTGTTTAGTTATGGGAAATTATTCCCGTTTCCAACGAAATCCTCAGAGAGCTCCAAATATCCACCTGCAGATTCTACCAAAAGTGTATTTGGAAACTGCTCCATCAAAAGGCATGTTCAGCTCTGTGAGTGAAACTCCATCATCACAAAGAATATTCTGAGAATGCTTCCGTTTGCCTTTTATATGAACTTCCTTCCTATACGACCGTAGGCCTCAAAGCAGTCCAAATCTCCATTTGCAGATTCTACAAAAAGAGTGATTCCAATCTGCTCTATCAATAGGATTGTTCAACTCCATGTGTTGAATGCCATCCTCACAAAGTCGTTTCTGAGAATGCTTCTATCTAGTTTTTATGTGAAGATATTTCCTTTTCCACCACAGGCCTCAAAGCCCTCCAAACGTCCACTTGCAGATTCTCGAAAAAGAGTGTTTCATAGCTGCTCTTTCAAAAGGAAAGTTCAACTCTGGGAGTTGAATACAAACATCACAAAGTAGTTTCCGAGAATGCTTCTGTTTAGTTTTTATGTGAAGATGATCCCGTTTCCAGTGAAATCTTCAAAGAGGTCCACATATCCCCTTGCAGATTCCAAAGAAAGAGGGTTTCAAAACTGCTCCATCAGAAGGATTGTTCAACTCTGTGAGTTGAATGCAGTCATCGCAGAAAACTTTCTGAGAATGCTTCTGTCTAGGTTTGATGTGAAGATATAGACGTTTCAAACGAAGGCTACAAAGTGGTCAAAATATACACTTGCAGATTCTACTACAAGGGTGTTGCAAACCTGAACTATCAAAGGAAGGTTCAACTCTGTGAGTTGAATACAAACATCACAAAGAATGTTCTGAGTTTGCTTCCGTTCAGTTATGGGAAGTTGATCCCGTTTCCAACGAAATCCTCAGAGAGGTCCAAATATCCCCTTGCAGATTCTACAAAACGTGTGTTTGGAAACTGCTCCATCATAACGAATGTTCAGCTCCCTGAGTTAAACTCCATCGTCACAAAGAATTTTCTGAGAGTGCTACCGTCTGGTTTTTATATGAAGCTCTTTCCTTCACTACCCCAGGCCTCAAAGCGGTCCAAATCTCCACTTGCAGATTCTACAAAAAGAGTGTTTGCAAACTGCTCTATCAAAAGGAATGTTCAACTCTGGGAGTTGAATGCAATCATCACAGAGCAGTTTCTGAGAATGCTTCTATGTCGTTTTTAGGAGAAGATATTTCCTTTTCCAACACAGTCCTCCAAGCCCGCTAAATATCCACTTGCACATTGTAGAAAAAGTGTGTCAAAGCTGCGCTATCAAAGGGAAAGTTCAACTCTGTGAGGTGAATGCAAACATCCCAAAGAAGTTTCTGAGAATGCTTCCGTTTAGCTTTTAGGTGAAGATTATCCTGTTTCCAACGAAATCTTCAAAGAGGTCCAAATATCCCCTTGCAGATCCCACAGAAAGAGTGTTTCGAAACTGCTGTTTCAAAAGGAATCTTCAACTCTGTGAGTTGAATGCAATCTTCACAAAGAAGTTTCTGACAATGCTTCTCTCTCGTCTTTCTGTGAAGATAAAGGAAAAGGCTTTCAGGCCTTTTCCACCACAGGCCTGAAAGCGCTCCAAATCTCCACTTGCAGATTCTGCCAAAAGAATATTTCAAAACTGCTCTATGAAAAGCAATGTTAAACTCTGTGGCTCGAACACAAACATCACAAAGCAGTTTCTGAGAATGCTTCAGTTTAGTTTTTCTGTGGAAATATTCCCGTTTCCAAAGAAATCTTCAAAGAGGTCCACGCATCCACTTACAGATTCTACAAAAAGACAGTTTCAAAACTGCTCAATCAAAAGGAGGGTTCAACTGTGTGACTTGAATGCAATCATCACTCAGAAGTTTGTGTGAACGCTTCTCTTTAGTTTTTACGTGAACATATACCCGTTTCGAACGAAGGCCAGCCAGTGGTCCAAATATCCACTTGCAGATTCTACACAAAGAGTGTTTCGAACCTGAACTCTCAAAGGCAGGTTCATCTCTGCGAGTTAAATGCATTCATCATGAAGAACTTTCTCAGCGTGTTTGTGTTTAGTTATGGGAAATTATTCCCTTTTCCAACTAAATCCTCAGAGAGCTCCAAATATCCACCTGCAGATTCTACCAAAAGTGTATTTGGAAACTGCTCCATCAAAAGGCATGTTCAGCTCTGTGAGTGAAACTCCATGATCACAAAGAATATTCTGAGAATGCTTCCGTTTGCCTTTTATATGAAGTTCCTTCCTATACTACCGTAGGCCTCAAAGCAGTCCAAATCTCCATTTGCAGATTCTACAAAAAGAGTGATTCCAATCTGCTCTATCAATAGGATTGTTCAACTCCATGAGTTGAATGCCATCCTCACAAAGTCGTTTCTGAGAATGCTTCTATCTAGTTTTTATGTGAAGATATTTCCTTTTCCACCACAGGCCTCAAAGCCCTCCAAACGTCCACTTGCAGATTCTCGAAAAAGAGTGTTTCATACCTGCCCTTCAAAAGGAAAGTTCAACTCTGGGAGTTGAATACAAACATCACAAAGTAGTTTCCCAGTATGCTTCTGTTTAGTTTTTATTTGAAGATGATCCCGTTTCCAGTGAAATCTTCAAAGAGGTCCACATATCCCCTTGCAGATTCCAAAGAAAGAGGGTTTCAAAACTGCTCCATCAGAAGGATTGTTCAACTCTGTGAGTTGAATGCAGTCATCGCAGAAAACTTTCTGAGAATGCTTCTGTCTAGGTTTGATGTGAAGGTATAGACGTTTCAAATGAAGGCTACAAAGTGGTCAAAATATACACTTGCAGATTCTACTACAAGGGTGTTGCAAACCTGAACTATCAAAGGAAGGTTCAACTCTGTGAGTTGAATACAAACATCACAAAGAATGTTCTGAGTTTGCTTCCGTTCAGTTATGGGAAGTTGATCCCGTTTCCAACGAAATCCTCAGAGAGGTCCAAATATCCCCTTGCAGATTCTACAAAACGTGTGTTTGGAAACTGCTCCATCATAACGAATGTTCAGCTCCCTGAGTTAAACTCCATCGTCACAAAGAATTTTCTGAGAGTGCTACCGTCTGGTTTTTATATGAAGTTCTTTCCTTCACTACCACAGGCCTCAAAGCGGTCCAAATCTCCACTTGCAGATTCTACAAAAAGAGTGTTTGCAAACTGCTCTATCAAAAGGAATGTTCAACTCTGGGAGTTGAATGCAATCATCACAGAGCAGTTTCTGAGAATGCTTCTATGTCGTTTTTAGGAGAAGATATTTCCTTTTCCAACACAGTCCTCCAAGCCCGCTAAATAGCCACTTGCACATTGTAGAAAAAGTGTGTCAAAGCTGCGCTATCAAAGGGAAAGTTCAACTCTGTGAGGTGAATGCAAACATCCCAAAGAAGTTTCTGAGAATGCTTCCGTTTAGCTTTTAGGTGAAGATTATCCCGTTTCCAACGAAACCTTCAAAGAGGTCCAAATATCCCCTTGCGGATCCCACAGAAAGAGTGTTTCGAAACTGCTGTTTCAAAAGGAATCTTCAACTCTGTGAGTTGAATGCAATCATCACAAAGAAGTTTCTGACAATGCTTCTCTCTCGTCTTTCTGTGAAGATAAAGGAAAAGGCTTTCAGGCCTTTTCCACCACAGGCCTGAAAGCGCTCCAAATGTCCACTTGCAGATTCTGCCAAAAGAATATTTCAAAACTGCTCTATGAAAAGCAATGTTAAACTCTGTGGCTGGAACACAAACATCACAAAGCGGTTTCTGAGAATGTTTCAGTTTAGTTTTTCTGTGGAAATATTCCCGTTTCCAAAGAAATCTTCAAAGAGGTCCACGTATCCACTTACAGATTCTACAAAAAGACAGTTTCAAAACTGCTCCATCAAAAGGAGGGTTCAACTGTGTGACTTGAATGCAATCATCACTCAGAAGTTTCTGAGAATGCTTCTCTTTAGTTTTTACGTGAACATATACCCGTTTCGAACGAAGGCCACCCAGTGGTCCAAATATCCACTTGCAGATTCTACAGAAAGAGTGTTTCGAACCTGAACTCTCAAAGGTAGGTTCATCTCTGCGAGTTAAATGCATTCGTCATGAAGAACTTTCTCAGAGTGTTTGTGTTTAGTTATGGGAAATTATTCCCGTTTCCAACGAAATCCTCAGAGAGCTCCAAATATCCACCTGCAGATTCTACCAAAAGTGTATTTGGAAACTGCTCCATCAAAAGGCATGTTCAGCTCTGTGAGTGAAACTCCATCATCACAAAGAATATTCTGAGAATGCTTCCGTTTACCTTTTATATGAAGTTCCTTCCTATACGACCGTAGGCCTCAAAGCAGTCCAAATCTCCATTTGCAGATTCTACAAAAAGAGTGATTCCAATCTGCTCTATCAATAGGATTGTTCAACTCCATGAGTTGAATGCCATCCTCACAAAGTAGTTTCTGAGAATGCTTCTATCTAGTTTTTATGTGAAGATATTTCCTTTTCCACCACAGGCCTCAAAGCCCTCCAAACGTCCACTTGCAGATTCTCGAAAAAGAGTGTTTCATAGCTGCTCTTTCAAAAGGAAAGTTCAACTCTGGGAGTTGAATACAAACATCACAAAGTAGTTTCCGAGAATGCTTCTGTTTAGTTTTTATGTGAAGATGATCCCGTTTCCAGTGAAATCTTCAAAGAGGTCCACATATCCCCTTGCAGATTGCAAAGAAAGAGGGTTTCAAAACTGCTCCATCAAAAGGATTGTTCAACTCTGTGAGTTGAATGCAGTCATCGCAGAAAACTTTCTGAGAATGCTTCTGTCTAGGTTTGATGTGAAGATATAGACGTTTCAAATGAAGGCTACAAAGTGGTCAAAATATACACTTGCAGATTCTACTACAAGGGTGTTGCAAACCTGAACTATAAAAGGAAGGTTCAACTCTGTGAGTTGAATACAAACATCACAAAGAATGTTCTGAGTTTGCTTCCGTTCAGTTATGGGAAGTTGATCCCGTTTCCAACGAAATCCTCAGAGAGGTCCAAATATCCCCTTGCAGATTCTACAAAACGTGTGTTTGGAAACTGCTCCATCATAACGAATGTTCAGCTCCCTGAGTTAAACTCCATCGTCACAAAGAATTTTCTGAGAGTGCTCCGTCTGGTTTTTATATGAAGTTCTTTCCTTCACTACCACAGGCCTCAAAGCGGTCCAAATCTCCACTTGCAGATTCTACAAAAAGAGTGTTTGCAAACTGCTCTATCAAAAGGAATGTTCAACTCTGGGAGTTGAATGCAATCATCACAGAGCAGTTTCTGAGAATGCTTTCTATGTCGTTTTTAGGAGAAGATATTTCCTTTTCCAACACAGTCCTCCAAGCCCGCTAAATAGCCACTTGCACATTGTAGAAAAAGAGTGTCGAAGCTGCGCTATCAAAGGGAAAGTTCAACTCTGTGAGGTGAATGCAAACATCCCAACGAAGTTTCTGAGAATGCTTCCGTTTAGCTTTTAGGTGAAGATTATCCCGTTTCCAACGAAATCTTCAAAGAGGTCCAAATATCCCCTTGCGGATCCCACAGAAAGAGTGTTTCGAAACTGCTGTTTCAAAAGGAATCTTCAACTCTGTGAGTTGAATGCAATCATCACAAAGAAGTTTCTGACAATGCTTCTCTCTCGTCTTTCTGTGAAGATAAAGGAAAAGGCTTTCAGGCCTTTTCCACCACAGGCCTGAAAGCGCTCCAAATGTCCACTTGCAGATTCTGCCAAAAGAATATTTCAAAACTGCTCTATGAAAAGCAATGTTAAACTCTGTGGCTCGAACACAAACATCACAAAGCAGTTTCTAAGAATGCTTCAGTTTAGTTTTTCTGTGGAAATATTCCCGTTTCCAAAGAAATCTTCAAAGAGGTCCACGCATCCACTTACAGATTCTACAAATAGACAGTTTCAAAACTGCTCAATCAAAACGAGGGTTCAACTCTGTGACTTGAATGCAATCATCACTCAGAAGTTTCTGAGAACGCTTCTCTTTAGTTTTTACGTGAACATATACCCGTTTCGAATGAAGGCCACCCAGTGGTCCAAATATCCACTTGCAGATTCTACAGAAAGAGTGTTTCGAACCTGAACTCTCAAAGGCAGGTTCATCTCTGCGAGTTAAATGCATTCATCATGAAGAACTTTCTCAGCGTGTTTGTGTTTAGTTATGGGAAATTATTCCCGTTCCCAAAGAAATCCTCAGAGAGGTCCAAATGTCCACCTGCAGATTCTACCAAAAGTGTATTGGGAAACTGCTCCATCAACAGGCATGTTCAGCTCTGTGAGTGAAACTCCATCATCACAAAGAATATTCTGAGAATGCTTCCGTTTGCCTTTTATATGAAGTTCCTTCCTATACGACCGTAGGCCTCAAAGCAGTCCAAATCTCCATTTGCAGATTCTACAAAAAGAGTGATTCCAATCTGCTCTATCAATAGGATTGTTCAACTCCATGAGTTGAATGCCATCCTCACAAAGTCGTTTGCTGAGAATGCTTCTATCTGGTTTTTGTGTGAAGATATTTCCTTTTCCACCACAGGCCTCAAAGCCCTCCAAACGTCCACTTGCAGATTCTCGAAAAAGAGTGTTTCATAGCTGCTCTTTCAAAAGGAAAGTTCAACTCTGTGAGTTGAATACAAACATCACAAAATAGTTTCCGAGAATGCTTCTGTTTAGTTCTTATGTGAAGATGATCCCGTTTCCAGTGAAATCTTCAAAGAGGTCCACATATCCCCTTGCAGATTCCAAAGAAAGAGGGTTTCAAAACTGCTCCATCAAAAGGATTGTTCAACTCTGTGAGTTGAATGCAGTCATCGCAGAAAACTTTCTGAGAATGCTTCTGTCTAGGTTTGATGTGAAGATATAGACGTTTCAAACGAAGGCTACAAAGTGGTCAAAATATACACTTGCAGATTCTACTACAAGGGTGTTGCAAACCTGAACTATCAAAGGAAGGTTCAACTCTGTGAATTGAATACAAACATCACAAAGAATGTTCTGAGTTTGCTTCCGTTCAGTTATGGGAAGTTGATCCCGTTTCCAACGAAATCCTCAGAGAGGTCCAAATATCCCCTTGCAGATTCTACAAAACGTGTGTTTGGAAACTGCTCCATCATAACGAATGTTCAGCTCCCTGAGTTAAACTCCATCGTCACAAAGAATTTTCTGAGAGTGCTACCGTCTGGTTTTTATATGAAGTTCTTTCCTTCACTACCACAGGCCTCAAAGCGGTCCAAATCTCCACTTGCAGATTCTACAAAAAGAGTGTTTGCAAACTGCTCTATCAAAAGGAATGTTCAACTCTGGGAGTTGAATGCAATCATCACAGAGCAGTTTCTGAGAATGCTTCTATGTCGTTTTTAGGAGAAGATATTTCCTTTTCCAACACAGTCCTCCAAGCCCGCTAAATAGCCACTTGCACATTGTAGAAAAAGTGTGTCAAAGCTGCGCTATCAAAGGGAAAGTTCAACTCTGTGAGGTGAATGCAAACATCCCAAAGAAGTTTCTGAGAATGCTTCCGTTTAGCTTTTAGGTGAAGATTATCCCGTTTCCAACGAAACCTTCAAAGAGGTCCAAATATCCCCTTGCGGATCCCACAGAAAGAGTGTTTCGAAACTGCTGTTTCAAAAGGAATCTTCAACTCTGTGAGTTGAATGCAATCATCACAAAGAAGTTTCTGACAATGCTTCTCTCTCGTCTTTCTGTGAAGATAAAGGAAAAGGCTTTCAGGCCTTTTCCACCACAGGCCTGAAAGCGCTCCAAATGTCCACTTGCAGATTCTGCGAAAAGAATATTTCAAAACTGCTCTATGAAAAGCAATGTTAAACTCTGTGGCTCGAACACAAACATCACAAAGCGGTTTCTGAGAATGCTTCAGTTTAGTTTTTCTGTGGAAATATTCCCGTTTCCAAAGAAATCTTCAAAGAGGTCCACGTATCCACTTACAGATTCTACAAAAAGACAGTTTCAAAACTGCTCCATCAAAAGGAGGGTTCAACCGTGTGACTTGAATGCAATCATCACTCAGAAGTTTCTGAGAATGCTTCTCTTTAGTTTTTACGTGAACATATACCCGTTTCGAACGAAGGCCACCCAGTGGTCCAAATATCCACTTGCAGATTATACAGAAAGAGTGTTTCGAACCTGAACTCTCAAAGGCAGGTTCATCTCTGCGAGTTAAATGCATTCATCATGAAGAACTTTCTCAGAGTGTTTGTGTTTAGTTATGGGAAATTATTGCCGTTTCCAACGAAATCCTCAGAGAGGTCCAAATATCCACCTGCAGATTCTACCAAAAGTGTATTTGGAAACTGCTCCATCAAAAGGCATGTTCAGCTCTGTGAGTGAAACTCCATCATCACAAAGAATATTCTGAGAATGCTTCCGTTTGCCTTTTATATGAAGTTCCTTCCTATACTACCGTAGGCCTCAAAGCAGTCCAAATCTCCATTTGCAGATTCTACAAAAAGAGTGATTCCAATCTGCTCTATCAATAGGATTGTTCAACTCCATGAGTTGAATGCCATCCTCACAAAGTCGTTTCTGAGAATGCTTCTATCTAGTTTTTATGTGAAGATATTTCCTTTTCCACCACAGGCCTCAAAGCCCTCCAAACGTCCACTTGCAGATTCTCGAAAAAGAGTGTTTCATAGCTGCTCTTTCAAAAGGAAAGTTCAACTCTGGGAGTTGAATACAAACATCACAAAGTAGTTTCCGAGAATGCTTCTGTTTAGTTCTTATGTGAAGATGATCCCGTTTCCAGTGAAATCTTGAAAGAGGTCCACATATCCCCTTGCAGATTCCAAAGAAAGAGGGTTTCAAAACTGCTCCATCAAAAGGATTGTTCAACTCTGTGAGTTGAATGCAGTCATCGCAGAAAACTTTGCTGAGAATGCTTCTGTCTAGGTTTGATGTGAAGATATAGACCTTTCAAACGAAGGCTACAAAGTGGTCAAAATATACACTTGCAGATTCTACTACAAGGGTGTTGCAAACCTGAACTATCAAAGGAAGGTTCAACTCTGTGAGTTGAATACAAACATCACAAAGAATGTTCTGAGTTTGCTTCCGTTCAGTTATGGGAAGTTGATCCCGTTTCCAACGAAATCCTCAGAGAGGTCCAAATATCCCCTTGCAGATTCTACAAAACGTGTGTTTGGAAACTGCTCCATCATAACGAATGTTCAGCTCCCTGAGTTAAACTCCATCGTCACAAAGAATTTTCTGAGAGTGCTACCGTCTGGTTTTTATATGAAGTTCTTTCCTTCACTACCACAGGCCTCAAAGCGGTCCAAATCCCCACTTGCAGATTCTACAAAAAGAGTGTTTGCAAACTGCTCTATCAAAAGGAATGTTCAACTCTGGGAGTTGAATGCAATCATCACAGAGCAGTTTCTGAGAATGCTTCTATGTCGTTTTTAGGAGAAGATATTTCCTTTTCCAACACAGTCCTCCAAGCCCGCTAAATAGCCACTTGCACATTGTAGAAAAAGTGTGTCAAAGCTGCGCTATCAAAGGGAAAGTTCAACTCTGTGAGGTGAATGCAAACATCCCAAAGAAGTTTCTGAGAATGCTTCCGTTTAGCTTTTAGGTGAAGATTATCCCGTTTCCAACGAAACCTTCAAAGAGGTCCAAATATCCCCTTGCGGATCCCACAGAAAGAGTGTTTCGAAACTGCTGTTTCAAAAGGAATCTTCAACTCTGTGAGTTGAATGCAATCATCAAAAAGAAGTTTCTGACAATGCTTCTCTCTCGTCTTCCTGTGAAGATAAAGGAAAAGGCTTTCAGGCCTTTTCCACCACAGGCCTGAAAGCGCTCCAAATGTCCACTTGCAGATTCTGCCAAAAGAATATTTCAAAACTGCTCTATGAAAAGCAATGTTAAACTCTGTGGCTCGAACACAAACATCACAAAGCAGTTTCTGAGAATGCTTCAGTTTAGTTTTTCTGTGGAAATATTCCCGTTTCCAAAGAAATATTCAAAGAGGTCCACGTATCCACTTACAGATTTTACAAAAAGACAGTTTCAAAACTGCTCAATCAAAAGGAGGGTTCAACTGTGTGACTTGAATGTAATCATCACTCAGAAGTTTCTGAGAATGCTTCTCTTTAGTTTTTACGTGAACATATACCCGTTTCGAACGAAGGCCACCCAGTGGTCCAAATATCCACTTGCAGATTCTACAGAAAGAGTGTTTCGAACCTGAACTCTCAAAGGCAGGTTCATACTCTGCGAGTTAAATGCATTCATCATGAAGAACTTTCTCAGAGTGTTTTGTGTTTAGTTATGGGAAATTATTCCCGTTTCCAACGAAATCCTCAGAGAGCTCCAAATATCCACCTGCAGATTCTACCAAAAGTGTATTTGGAAACTGCTCCATCAAAAGGCATGTTCAGCTCTGTCAGTGAAACTCCATCATCACAAAGAATATTCTGAGAATGCTTCCGTTTGCCTTTTATATGAAGTTCCTTCCTATACTACCGTAGGCCTCAAAGCAGTCCAAATCTCCATTTGCAGATTCTACAAAAAGAGTGATTCCAATCTGCTCTATCAATAGGATTGTTCAACTCCATGAGTTGAATGCCATCCTCACAAAGTCGTTTCTGAGAATG
Organism: Homo sapiens; assembly: GCF_000001405.40. Classification (NCBI taxonomy): domain Eukaryota; kingdom Metazoa; phylum Chordata; class Mammalia; order Primates; family Hominidae; genus Homo; species Homo sapiens. The sequence goes on along the minus strand of NC_000023.11, from coordinate 60,478,649 downwards.
CTTCTATCTGGTTTTTGTGTGAAGATATTTCCTTTTCCACCACAGGCCTCAAAGCCCTCCAAACGTCCACTTGCAGATTCTCGAAAAAGAGTGTTTCATAGCTGCTCTTTCAAAAGGAAAGTTCAACTCTGGGAGTTGAATACAAACATCACAAAATAGTTTCCGAGAATGCTTCTGTTTAGTTTTTATGTGAAGATGATCCCGTTTCCAGTGAAATCTTCAAAGAGGTCCACATATCCCCTTGCAGATTCCAAAGAAAGAGGGTTTAAAAACTGCTCCATCAGAAGGATTGTTCAACTCTGTGAGTTCAATGCAGTCATCGCAGAAATCTTTCTGAGAATGCTTCTGTCTAGGTTTGATGTGAAGATATAGACGTTTCAAACGAAGGCTACAAAGTGGTCAAAATATACACTTGCAGATTCTACTACAAGGGTGTTGCAAACCTGAACTATCAAAGGAAGTTTCAACTCTGTGAATTGAATACAAACATCACAAAGAATGTTCTGAGTTTGCTTCCGTTCAGTTATGGGAAGTTGATCCCGTTTCCAACGAAATCCTCAGAGAGGTCCAAATATCCCCTCGCAGATTCTACAAAACGTGTGTTTGGAAACTGCTCCATCATAACGAATGTTCAGCTCCCTGAGTTAAACTCCATCGTCACAAAGAATTTTCTGAGAGTGCTACCGTCTGGTTTTTATATGAAGTTCTTTCCTTCACTACCACAGGCCTCAAAGCGGTCCAAATCTCCACTTGCAGATTCTACAAAAAGAGTGTTTGCAAACTGCTCTATCAAAAGGAATGTTCAACTCTGGGAGTTGAATGCAATCATCACAGAGCAGTTTCTGAGAATGCTTCTATGTCGTTTTTAGGAGAAGATATTTCCTTTTCCAACACAGTCCTCCAAGCCCGCTAAATAGCCACTTGCACATTGTAGAAAAAGTGTGTCAAAGCTGCGCTATCAAAGGGAAAGTTCAACTCTGTGAGGTGAATGCAAACATCCCAAAGAAGTTTCTGAGAATGCTTCCGTTTAGCTTTTAGGTGAAGATTATCCCGTTTCCAACGAAACCTTCAAAGAGGTCCAAATATCCCCTTGCGGATCCCACAGAAAGAGTGTTTCGAAACTGCTGTTTCAAAAGGAATCTTCAACTCTGTGAGTTGAATGCAATCATCACAAAGAAGTTTCTGACAATGCTTCTCTCTCGTCTTTCTGTGAAGGTAAAGGAAAAGGCTTTCAGGACTTTTCCACCACAGGCCTGAAAGCGCTCCAAATGTCCACTTGCAGATTCTGCCAAAAGAATATTTCAAAACTGCTCTATGAAACGCAATGTTAAACTCTGTGGCTCGAACACAAACATCACAAGGCGGTTTCTGAGAATGATTCAGTTTAGTTTTTCTGTGGAAATATTCCCGTTTCCAAAGAAATCTTCAAAGAGGTCCACGTATCCACTTACAGATTCTACAAAAAGACAGTTTCAAAACTGCTCCATCAAAAGGAGGGTTCAACTGTGTGACTTGAATGCAATCATCACTCAGAAGTTTCTGAGAATGCTTCTCTTTAGTTTTTACGTGAACATATACCCGTTTCGAACGAAGGCCACCCAGTGGTCCAAATATCCACTTGCAGATTCTACAGAAAGAGTGTTTCGAACATGAACTCTCAAAGGCAGGTTCATCTCTGCGAGTTAAATGCATTCATCATGAAGAACTTTCTCAGAGTGTTTGTGTTTAGTTATGGGAAATTATTCCCGTTTCCAACGAAATCCTCAGAGAGCTCCAAATATCCACCTGCAGATTCTACCAAAAGTGTATTTGGAAACTGCTCCATCAAAAGGCATGTTCCGCTCTGTGAGTGAAACTCCATCATCACAAAGAATATTCTGAGAATGCTTCCGTTTGCCTTTTATATGAAGTTCCTTCCTATACGACCGTAGGCCTCAAAGCAGTCCAAATCTCCATTTGCAGATTCTACAAAAAGAGTGATTCCAATCTGCTCTATCAATAGGATTGTTCAACTCCATGAGTTGAATGCCATCCTCACAAAGTAGTTTCTGAGAATGCTTCTATCTAGTTTTTATGTGAAGATATTTCCTTTTCCACCACAGGCCTCAAAGCCTTCCAAACGTCCACTTGCAGATTCTCGAAAAAGAGTGTTTCATAGCTGCTCTTTCAAAAGGAAAGTTCAACTCTGGGAGTTGAATACAAACATCACAAAGTAGTTTCCGAGAATGCTTCTGTTTAGTTTTTATGTGAAGATGATCCCGTTTCCAGTGAAATCTTCAAAGAGGTCCACATATCCCCTTGCAGATTCCAAAGAAAGAGGGTTTCAAAACTGCTCCATCAGAAGGATTGTTCAACTCTGTGAGTTGAATGCAGTCATCGCAGAAAACTTTCTGAGAATGCTTCTGTCTAGGTTTGATGTGAAGATATAGACGTTTCAAATGAAGGCTACAAAGTGGTCAAAATATACACTTGCAGATTCTACTACAAGGGTGTTGCAAACCTGAACTATCAAAGGAAGGTTCAACTCTGTGAGTTGAATACAAACATCACAAAGAATGTTCTGAGTTTGCTTCCGTTCAGTTATGGGAAGTTGATCCCGTTTCCAACGAAATCCTCAGAGAGGTCCAAATATCCCCTCGCAGATTCTACAAAACGTGTGTTTGGAAACTGCTCCATCATAACGAATGTTCAGCTCCCTGAGTTAAACTCCATCGTCACAAAGAATTTTCTGAGAGTGCTACCGTCTGGTTTTTATATGAAGTTCTTTCCTTCACTACCACAGGCCTCAAAGCGGTCCAAATCTCCACTTGCAGATTCTACAAAAAGAGTGTTTGCAAACTGCTCTATCAAAAGGAATGTTCAACTCTGGGAGTTGAATGCAATCATCACAGAGCAGATTCTGAGAATGCTTCTATGTCGTTTTTAGAAGATATTTCCTTTTCCAACACAGTCCTCCAAGCCCGCTAAATATCCACTTGCACATTGTAGAAAAAGTGTGTCAAAGCTGCGCTATCAAAGGGAAAGTTCAACTCTGTGAGGTGAATGCAAACATCCCAAAGAAGTTTCTGAGAATGCTTCCGTTTAGCTTTTAGGTGAAGATTATCCCGTTTCCAACGAAACCTTCAAAGAGGTGCAAATATCCCCTTGCGGATCCCACAGAAAGAGTGTTTCGAAACTGCTGTTTCAAAAGGAATCTTCAACTCTGTGAGTTGAATGCAATCATCACAAAGAAGTTTCTGACAATGCTTCTCTCTCGTCTTTCTGTGAAGATAAAGGAAAAGGCTTTCAGGCCTTTTCCACCACAGGCCTGAAAGCGCTCCAAATGTCCACTTGCAGATTCTGCCAAAAGAATATTTCAAAACTGCTCTATGAAAAGCAATGTTAAACTCTGTGGCTGGAACACAAACATCACAAAGCGGTTTCTGAGAATGTTTCAGTTTAGTTTTTCTGTGGAAATATTCCCGTTTCCAAAGAAATCTTCAAAGAGGTCCACGTATCCACTTACAGATTCTACAAAAAGACAGTTTCAAAACTGCTCCATCAAAAGGAGGGTTCAACTGTGTGACTTGAATGCAATCATCACTCAGAAGTTTCTGAGAATGCTTCTCTTTAGTTTTTACGTGAACATATACCCGTTTCGAACGAAGGCCACCCAGTGGTCCAAATATCCACTTGCAGATTATACAGAAAGAGTGTTTCGAACCTGAACTCTCAAAGGCAGGTTCATCTCTGCGAGTTAAATGCATTCATCATGAAGAACTTTCTCAGAGTGTTTGTGTTTAGTTATGGGAAATTATTCCCGTTTCCAACGAAATCCTCAGAGTGGTCCAAATATCCACCTGCAGATTCTACCAAAAGTGTATTTGGAAACTGCTCCATCAAAAGGCATGTTCAGCTCTGTGAGTGAAACTCCATCATCACAAAGAATATTCTGAGAATGCTTCCGTTTGCCTTTTATATGAAGTTCCTTCCTATACGACCGTAGGCCTCAAAGCAGTCCAAATCTCCATTTGCAGATTCTACAAAAAGAGTGATTCCAATCTGCTCTATCAATAGGATTGTTCAACTCCATGAGTTGAATGCCATCCTCACAAAGTAGTTTCTGAGAATGCTTCTATCTAGTTTTTATGTGAAGGTATTTCCTTTTCCACCACAGGCCTCCAAGCCCTCCAAACGTCCACTTGCAGATTCTCGAAAAAGAGTGTTTCATAGCTGCTCTTTCAAAAGGAAAGTTCAACTCTGGGAGTTGAATACAAACATCACAAAGTAGTTTCCGAGAATGCTTCTGTTTAGTTTTTATGTGAAGATGATCCCGTTTCCAGTGAAATCTTCAAAGAGGTCCACATATCCCCTTGCAGATTCCAAAGAAAGAGGGTTTCAAAACTGCTCCATCAGAAGGATTGTTCAACTCTGTGAGTTGAATGCAGTCATCGCAGAAAACTTTCTGAGAATGCTTCTGTCTAGGATTGATGTGAAGATATAGACGTTTCAAATGAAGGCTACAAAGTGGTCAAAATATACACTTGCAGATTCTACTACAAGGGTGTTGCAAACCTGAACTATCAAAGGAAGGTTCAACTCTGTGAGTTGAATACAAACATCACAAAGAATGTTCTGAGTTTGCTTCCGTTCAGTTATGGGAAGTTGATCCCGTTTCCAACGAAATCCTCAGAGAGGTCCAAATATCCCCTTGCAGATTCTACAAAACGTGTGTTTGGAAACTGCTCCATCATAACGAATGTTCAGCTCCCTGAGTTAAACTCCATCGTCACAAAGAATTTTCTGAGAGTGCTACCGTCTGGTTTTTATATGAAGTTCTTTCCTTCACTACCACTGGCCTCAAAGCGGTCCAAATCTCCACTTGCAGATTCTACAAAAAGAGTGTTTGCAAACTGCTCTATCAAAAGGAATGTTCAACTCTGGGAGTTGAATGCAATCATCACAGAGCAGTTTCTGAGAATGCTTCTATGTCGTTTTTAGGAGAAGATATTTCCTTTTCCAACACAGTCCTCCAAGCCCGCTAAATAGCCACTTGCACATTGTAGAAAAAGTGTGTCAAAGCTGCGCTATCAAAGGGAAAGTTCAACTCTGTGAGGTGAATGCAAACATCCCAAAGAAGTTTCTGAGAATGCTCCGTTTAGCTTTTAGGTGAAGATTATCCCGTTTCCAACGAAACCTTCAAAGAGGTCCAAATATCCCCTTGCGGATCCCACAGAAAGAGTGTTTCGAAACTGCTGTTTCAAAAGGAATCTTCAACTCTGTGAGTTGAATGCAATCATCACAAAGAAGTTTCTGGCAATGCTTCTCTCTCGTCTTTCTGTGAAGATAAAGGAAAAGGCTTTCAGGCCTTTTCCACCACAGGCCTGAAAGCGCTCCAAATGTCCACTTGCAGATTCTGCTAAAAGAATATTTCAAAACTGCTCTATGAAAAGCAATGTTAAACTCTGTGGCTCGAACACAAACATCACAAAGCAGTTTCTGAGAATGCTTCAGTTTAGTTTTTCTGTGGAAATATTCCCGTTTCCAAAGAAATCTTCAAAGAGGTCCACGTATCCACTTACAGATTCTACAAAAAGACAGTTTCAAAACTGCTCCATCAAAAGGAGGGTTCAACTGTGTGACTTGAATGCAATCATCACTCAGAAGTTTCTGAGAATGCTTCTCTTTAGTTTTTACGTGAACATATACCCGTTTCGAACGAAGGCCACCCAGTGGTCCAAATATCCACTTGCAGATTATACAGAAAGAGTGTTTCGAACCTGAACTCTCAAAGGCAGGTTCATCTCTGCGAGTTAAATGCATTCATCATGAAGAACTTTCTCAGAGTGTTTGTGTTTAGTTATGGGAAATTATTCCCGTTTCCAACGAAATCCTCAGAGAGCTCCAAATATCCACCTGCAGATTCTACCAAAAGTGTATTTGGAAACTGCTCCATCAAAAGGCATGTTCAGCTCTGTCAGTGAAACTCCATCATCACAAAGAATATTCTGAGAATGCTTCCGTTTGCCTTTTATATGAAGTTCCTTCCTGTACTACCGTAGGCCTCAAAGCAGTCCAAATCTCCATTTGCAGATTCTACAAAAAGAGTGATTCCAATCTGCTCTATCAATAGGATTGTTCAACTCCATGAGTTGAATGCCATCCTCACAAAGTCGTTTCTGAGAATGCTTCTATCTGGTTTTTGTGTGAAGATATTTCCTTTTCCACCACAGGCCTCAAAGCCCTCCAAACGTCCACTTGCAGATTCTCGAAAAAGAGTGTTTCATAGCTGCTCTTTCAAAAGGAAAGTTCAACTCTGGGAGTTGAATACAAACATCACAAAATAGTTTCCGAGAATGCTTTCTGTTTAGTTCTTATGTGAAGATGATCCCGTTTCCAGTGAAATCTTCAAAGAGGTCCACATATCCCCTTGCAGATTCCAAAGAAAGAGGGTTTCAAGACTGCTCCATCAAAAGGATTGTTCAACTCTGTGAGTTGAATGCAGTCATCGCAGAAAACTTTCTGAGAATGCTTCTGTCTAGGTTTGAGGTGAAGATATAGACGTTTCAAACGAAGGCTACAAAGTGGTCAAAATATACACTTGCAGATTCTACTACAAGGGTGTTGCAAACCTGAACTATCAAAGGAAGGTTCAACTCTGTGAGTTGAATACAAACATCACAAAGAATGTTCTGAGTTTGCTTCCGTTCAGTTATGGGAAGTTGATCCCGTTTCCAACGAAATCCTCAGAGAGGTCCAAATATCCCCTTGCAGATTCTACAAAACGTGTGTTTGGAAACTGCTCCATCATAACGAATGTTCAGCTCTCTGAGTTAAACTCCATCGTCACAAAGAATTTTCTGAGAGTGCTACCATCTGGTTTTTATATGAAGTTCTTTCCTTTACTACCACAGGCCTCAAAGCGGTCCAAATCTCCACTTGCAGATTCTACAAAAAGAGTGTTTGCAAACTGCTCTATCAAAAGGAATGTTCAACTCTGGGAGTTGAATGCAATCATCACAGAGCAGTTTCTGAGAATGCTTCTATGTCGTTTTTAGGAGAAGATATTTCCTTTTCCAACACAGTCCTCCAAGCCCGCTAAATATCCACTTGCACATTGTAGAAAAAGGGTGTCGAAGCTGCGCTATCAAAGGGAAAGTTCAACTCTGTGAGGTGAATGCAAACATCCCAAAGAAGTTTCTGAGAATGCTTCCGTTTAGCTTTTAGGTGAAGATTATCCCGTTTCCAACGAAATCTTCAAAGAGGTCCAAATATCCCCTTGCGGATCCCACAGAAAAAGTGTTTCGAAACTGCTGTTTCAAAAGGAATCTTCAACTCTGTGAGTTGAATGCAATCATCACAAAGAAGTTTCTGACAATGCTTCTCTCTCGTCTTTCTGTGAAGATAAAGGAAAAGGCTTTCAGGCCTTTTCCACCACAGGCCTGAAAGCGCTCCAAATGTCCACTTGCAGATTCTGCCAAAAGAATATTTCAAAACTGCTCTATGAAAAGCAATGTTAAACTCTGCGGCTCGAACACAAACATCACAAAGCAGTTTCTGAGAATGCTTCAGTTTAGTTTTTCTGTGGAAATATTCCCATTTCCAAAGAAATCTTCAAAGAGGTCCACGTATCCACTTACAGATTCTACAAAAAGACAGTTTCAAAACTGCTCAATCAAAAGGAGGGTTCAACCGTGTGACTTGAATGCAATCATCACTCAGAAGTTTCTGAGAATGCTTCTCTTTAGTTTTTACGTGAACATATACCCGTTTCGAACGAAGGCCACCCAGTGGTCCAAATATCCACTTGCAGATTCTACAGAAAGAGTGTTTCGAACCTGAACTCTCAAAGGCAGGTTCATCTCTGCGAGTTCAATGCATTCATCATGAAGAACTTTCTCAGAGTGTTTGTGTTTAGGTATGGGAAATTATTCCCGTTTCCAACGAAATCCTCAGAGAGGTCCAAATATCCACCTGCAGATTCTACCAAAAGTGTATTTGGAAACTGCTCCATCAAAAGGCATGTTCAGCTCTGTGAGTGAAACTCCATCATCACAAAGAATATTCTGAGAATGCTTCCGTTTGCCTTTTATATGAAGTTCCTTCCTATACTACCGTAGGCCTCAAAGCAGTCCAAATCTCCATTTGCAGATTCTACAAAAAGAGTGATTCCAATCTGCTCTATCAATAGGATTGTTCAACTCCATGAGTTGAATGCCATCCTCACAAAGTCGTTTGTGAGAATGCTTCTATCTAGTTTTTATGTGAAGATATTTCCTTTTCCACCACAGGCCTCAAAGCCCTCCAAACGTCCACTTGCAGATTCTCGAAAAAGAGTGTTTCATAGCTGCTCTTTCAAAAGGAAAGTTCAACTCTGGGAGTTGAATACAAACATCACAAAGTAGTTTCCGAGAATGCTTCTGTTTAGTTCTTATGTGAAGATGATCCCGTTTCCAGTGAAATCTTCAAAGAGGTCCACATATCCCCTTGCAGATTCCAAAGAAAGAGGGTTTCAAAACTGCTCCATCAAAAGGATTGTTCAACTCTGTGAGTTGAATGCAGTCATCGCAGAAAACTTTCTGAGAATGCTTCTGTCTAGGTTTGATGTGAAGATATAGACGTTCAAACGAAGGCTACAAAGTGGTCAAAATATACACTTGCAGATTCTACTACAAGGGTGTTGCAAACCTGAACTATCAAAGGAAGGTTCAACTCTGTGAGTTGAATACAAACATCACAAAGAATGTTCTGAGTTTGCTTCCGTTCAGTTATGGGAAGTTGATCCCGTTTCCAACGAAATCCTCAGAGAGGTCCAAATATCCCCTTGCAGATTCTACAAAACGTGTGTTTGGAAACTGCTCCATCATAACGAATGTTCAGCTCCCTGAGTTAAACTCCATCGTCACAAAGAATTTTCTGAGAGTGCTACCGTCTGGTTTTTATATGAAGTTCTTTCCTTCACTACCACAGGCCTCAAAGCGGTCCAAATCTCCACTTGCAGATTCTACAAAAAGAGTGTTTGCAAACTGCTCTATCAAAAGGAATGTTCAACTCTGGGAGTTGAATGCAATCATCACAGAGCAGTTTCTGAGAATGCTTCTATGTCGTTTTTAGGAGAAGATATTTCCTTTTCCAACACAGTCCTCCAAGCCCGCTAAATAGCCACTTGCACATTGTAGAAAAAGTGTGTCAAAGCTGCGCTATCAAAGGGAAAGTTCAACTCTGTGAGGTGAATGCAAAACATCCCAAAGAAGTTTCTGAGAATGCTTCCGTTTAGCTTTTAGGTGAAGATTATCCCGTTTCCAACGAAACCTTCAAAGAGGTCCAAATATCCCCTTGCGGATCCCACAGAAAGAGTGTTTCGAAACTGCTGTTTCAAAAGGAATCTTCAACTCTGTGAGTTGAATGCAATCATCACAAAGAAGTTTCTGACAATGCTTCTCTTTCTGTGAAGATAAAGGAAAAGGCTTTCAGGCCTTTTCCACCACAGGCCTGAAAGCGCTCCAAATGTCCACTTGCAGATTCTGCCAAAAGAATATTTCAAAACTGCTCTATGAAAAGCAATGTTAAACTCTGTGGCTGGAACACAAACATCACAAAGCGGTTTCTGAGAATGTTTCAGTTTAGTTTTTCTGTGGAAATATTCCCGTTTCCAAAGAAATCTTCAAAGAGGTCCACGTATCCACTTACAGATTCTACAAAAAGACAGTTTCAAAACTGCTCCATCAAAAGGAGGGTTCAACTGTGTGACTTGAATGCAATCATCACTCAGAAGTTTCTGAGAATGCTTCTCTTTAGTTTTTACGTGAACATATACCCGTTTCGAACGAAGGCCACCCAGTGGTCCAAATATCCACTTGCAGATTATACAGAAAGAGTGTTTCGAACCTGAACTCTCAAAGGCAGGTTCATCTCTGCGAGTTAAATGCATTCATCATGAAGAACTTTCTCAGAGTGTTTGTGTTTAGTTATGGGAAATTATTCCCGTTTCCAACGAAATCCTCAGAGAGCTCCAAATATCCACCTGCAGATTCTACCAAAAGTGTATTTGGAAACTGCTCCATCAAAAGGCATGTTCAGCTCTGTCAGTGAAACTCCATCATCACAAAGAATATTCTGAGAATGCTTCCGTTTGCCTTTTATATGAAGTTCCTTCCTATACTACCGTAGGCCTCAAAGCAGTCCAAATCTCCATTTGCAGATTCTACAAAAAGAGTGATTCCAATCTGCTCTATCAATAGGATTGTTCAACTCCATGAGTTGAATGCCATCCTCACAAAGTCGTTTCTGAGAATGCTTCTATCTGGTTTTTGTGTGAAGATATTTCCTTTTCCACCACAGGCCTCAAAGCCCTCCAAACGTCCACTTGCAGATTCTCGAAAAAGAGTGTTTCATAGCTGCTCTTTCAAAAGGAAAGTTCAACTCTGGGAGTTGAATACAAACATCACAAAATAGTTTCCGAGAATGCTTCTGTTTAGTTTTTATGTGAAGATGATCCCGTTTCCAGTGAAATCTTCAAAGAGGTCCACATATCCCCTTGCAGATTCCAAAGAAAGAGGGTTTCAAAACTGCTCCATCAGAAGGATTGTTCAACTCTGTGAGTTGAATGCAGTCATCGCAGAAAACTTTCTGAGAATGCTTCTGTCTAGGTTTGATGTGAAGATATAGACGTTTCAAACGAAGGCTACAAAGTGGTCAAAATATACACTTGCAGATTCTACTACAAGGGTGTTGCAAACCTGAACTATCAAAGGAAGGTTCAACTCTGTGAATTGAATACAAACATCACAAAGAATGTTCTGAGTTTGCTTCCGTTCAGTTATGGGAAGTTGATCCCGTTTCCAACGAAATCCTCAGAGAGGTCCAAATATCCCCTTGCAGATTCTACAAAACGTGTGTTTGGAAACTGCTCCATCATAACGAATGTTCAGCTCCCTGAGTTAAACTCCATCGTCACAAAGAATTTTCTGAGAGTGTTACCGTCTGGTTTTTATATGAAGTTCTTTCCTTCACTACCACAGGCCTCAAAGCGGTCCAAATCTCCACTTGCAGATTCTACAAAAAGAGTGTTTGCAAACTGCTCTATCAAAAGGAATGTTCAACTCTGGGAGTTGAATGCAATCATCACAGAGCAGTTTCTGAGAATGCTTCTATGTCGTTTTTAGGAGAAGATATTTCCTTTTCCAACACAGTCCTCCAAGCCCGCTAAATAGCCACTTGCACATTGTAGAAAAAGTGTGTCAAAGCTGCGCTATCAAAGGGAAAGTTCAACTCTGTGAGGTGAATGCAAACATCCCAAAGAAGTTTCTGAGAATGCTTCCGTTTAGCTTTTAGGTGAAGATTATCCCGTTTCCAACGAAACCTTCAAAGAGGTCCAAATATCCCCTTGCGGATCCCACAGAAAGAGTGTTTCGAAACTGCTGTTTCAAAAGGAATCTTCAACTCTGTGAGTTGAATGCAATCATCACAAAGAAGTTTCTGACAATGCTTCTCTCTCGTCTTTCTGTGAAGATAAAGGAAAAGGCTTTCAGGCCTTTGCCACCACAGGCCTGAAAGCGGTCCAAATGTCCACTTGCAGATTCTGCCAAAAGAATATTTCAAAACTGCTCTATGAAAAGCAATGTTAAACTCTGCGGCTCGAACACAAACATCACAAAGCGGTTTCTGAGAATGCTTCAGTTTAGTTTTTCTGTGGAAATATTCCCGTTTCCAAAGAAATCTTCAAAGAGGTCCACGTATCCACTTACAGATTCTACAAAAAGACAGTTTCAAAACTGCTCCATCAAAAGGAGGGTTCAACTGTGTGACTTGAATGCAATCATCACTCAGAAGTTTCTGAGAATGCTTCTCTTTAGTTTTTACGTGAACATATACCCGTTTCGAACGAAGGCCACCCAGTGGTCCAAATATCCACTTGCAGATTCTACAGAAAGAGTGTTTCGAACCTGAACTCTCAAAGGCAGGTTCATCTCTGCGAGTTAAATGCATTCATCATGAAGAACTTTCTCAGAGTGTTTGTGTTTAGTTATGGGAAATTATTCCCGTTTCCAACGAAATCCTCAGAGAGCTCCAAATATCCACCTGCAGATTCTACCAAAAGTGTATTTGGAAACTGCTCCATCAAAAGGCATGTTCAGCTCTGTGAGTGAAACTCCATCATCACAAAGAATATTCTGAGAATGCTTCCGTTTGCCTTTTATATGAAGTTCCTTCCTGTACTACCGTAGGCCTCAAGGCAGTCCAAATCTCCATTTGCAGATTCTACAAAAAGAGTGATTCCAATCTGCTCTATCAATAGGATTGTTCAACTCCATGAGTTGAATGCCATCCTCACAAAGTAGTTTCTGAGAATGCTTCTATCTGGTTTTTGTGTGAAGATATTTCCTTTTCCACCACAGGCCTCAAAGCCCTCCAAACGTCCACTTGCAGATTCTCGAAAAAGAGTGTTTCATAGCTGCTCTTTCAAAAGGAAAGTTCAACTCTGGGAGTTGAATGCAAACATCACAAAATAGTTTCCGAGAATGCTTTCTGTTTAGTTTTTATGTGAAGATGATCCCGTTTCCAGTGAAATCTTCAAAGAGGTCCACATATCCCCTTGCAGATTCCAAAGAAAGAGGGTTTCAAAACTGCTCCATCAGAAGGATTGTTCAACTCTGTGAGTTGAATGCAGTCATCGCAGAAAACTTTCTGAGAATGCTTCTGTCTAGGTTTGATGTGAAGATATAGACGTTTCAAACGAAGGCTACAAAGTGGTCAAAATATACACTTGCAGATTCTACTACAAGGGTGTTGCAAACCTGAACTATCAAAGGAAGGTTCAACTCTGTGAGTTGAATACAAACATCACAAAGAATGTTCTGAGTTTGCTTCCGTTCAGTTATGGGAAGTTGATCCCGTTTCCAACGAAATCCTCAGAGAGGTCCCAATATCCCCTTGCAGATTCTACAAAACGTGTGTTTGGAAACTGCTCCATCATAACGAATGTTCAGCTCCCTGAGTTAAACTCCATCGTCACAAAGAATTTTCTGAGAGTGCTACCGTCTGGTTTTTATATGAAGTTCTTTCCTTCACTACCACAGACCTCAAAGCGGTCCAAATCTCCACTTGCAGATTCTACAAAAAGAGTGTTTGCAAACTGCTCTATCAAAAGGAATGTTCAACTCTGGGAGTTGAATGCAATCATCACAGAGCAGTTTCTGAGAATGCTTCTATGTCGTTTTTAGGAGAAGATATTTCCTTTTCCAACACAGTCCTCCAAGCCCGCTAAATAGCCACTTGCACATTGTAGAAAAAGTGTGTCAAAGCTGCGCTATCAAAGGGAAAGTTCAACTCTGTGAGGTGAATGCAAACATCCCAAAGAAGTTTCTGAGAATGCTTCCGTTTAGCTTTTAGGTGAAGATTATCCCGTTTCCAACGAAACCTTCAAAGAGGTCCAAATATCCCCTTGCGGATCCCACAGAAAGAGTGTTTCGAAACTGCTGTTTCAAAAGGAATCTTCAACTCTGTGAGTTGAATGCAATCATCACAAAGAAGTTTCTGACAATGCTTCTCTCTCGTCTTTCTGTGAAGATAAAGGAAAAGGCTTTCAGGCCTTTTCCACCACAGGCCTGAAAGCGCTCCAAATGTCCACTTGCAGATTCTGCCAAAAGAATATTTCAAAACTGCTCTATGAAAAGCAATGTTAAACTCTGTGGCTCGAACACAAACATCACAAAGCGGTTTCTGAGAATGATTCAGTTTAGTTTTTCTGTGGAAATATTCCCGTTTCCAAAGAAATCTTCAAAGAGGTCCACGTATCCACTTACAGATTCTACAAAAAGACAGTTTCAAAACTGCTCCATCAAAAGGAGGGTTCAACTGTGTGACTTGAATGCAATCATCACTCAGAAGTTTCTGAGAATGCTTCTCTTTAGTTTTTACGTGAACATATACCCGTTTCGAACGAAGGCCAGCCAGTGGTCCAAATATCCACTTGCAGATTCTACAGAAAGAGTGTTTCGAACCTGAACTCTCAAAGGCAGGTTCATCTCTGCGAGTTCAATGCATTCTAAATGAAGAACTTTCTCAGAGTGTTTTGTGTTTAGTTATGGGAAATTATTCCCGTTTCCAACGAAATCCTCAGAGAGCTCCAAATATCCACCTGCAGATTCTACCAAAAGTGTATTTGGAAACTGCTCCATCAAAAGGCATGTTCAGCTCTGTGAGTGAAACTCCATCATCACAAAGAATATTCTGAGAATGCTTCCGTTTGCCTTTTATATGAAGTTCCTTCCTGTACTACCGTAGGCCTCAAAGCAGTCCAAATCTCCATTTGCAGATTCTACAAAAAGAGTGATTCCAATCTGCTCTATCAATAGGATTGTTCAACTCCATGAGTTGAATGCCATCCTCACAAAGTAGTTTCTGAGAATGCTTCTATCTGGTTTTTGTGTGAAGATATTTCCTTTTCCACCACAGGCCTCAAAGCCCTCCAAACGTCCACTTGCAGATTCTCGAAAAAGAGTGTTTCATAGCTGCTCTTTCAAAAGGAAAGTTCAACTCTGGGAGTTGAATACAAACATCACAAAATAGTTTCCGAGAATGCTTCTGTTTAGTTTTTATGTGAAGATGATCCCGTTTCCAGTGAAATCTTCAAAGAGGTCCACATATCCCCTTGCAGATTCCAAAGAAAGAGGGTTTCAAAACTGCTCCATCAGAAGGATTGTTCAACTGTGTGAGTTGAATGCAGTCATCGCAGAAAACTTTCTGAGAATGCTTCTGTCTAGGTTTGACGTGAAGATATAGACGTTTCAAACGAAGGCTACAAAGTGGTCAAAATATACACTTGCAGATTCTACTACAAGGGTGTTGCAAACCTGAACTATCAAAGGAAGGTTCAACTCTGTGAGTTGAATACAAACATCACAAAGAATGTTCTGAGTTTGCTTCCGTTCAGTTATGGGAAGTTGATCCCGTTTCCAACGAAATCCTCAGAGAGGTCCAAATATCCCCTCGCAGATTCTACAAAACGTGTGTTTGGAAACTGCTCCATCATAACGAATGTTCAGCTCCCTGAGTTAAACTCCATCGTCACAAAGAATTTTCTGAGAGTGCTACCGTCTGGTTTTTATATGAAGTTCTTTCCTTCACTACCACA
The DNA here is from genome assembly GCF_000001405.40 of Homo sapiens. NCBI lineage: Eukaryota > Metazoa > Chordata > Mammalia > Primates > Hominidae > Homo > Homo sapiens. The sequence goes on along the minus strand of NC_000023.11, from coordinate 60,463,534 downwards.
GGCCTCAAAGCGGTCCAAATCTCCACTTGCAGATTCTACAAAAAGAGTGTTTGCAAACTGCTGTATCAAAAGGAATGTTCAACTCTGGGAGTTGAATGCAATCATCACAGAGCAGTTTCTGAGAATGCTTCTATGTCGTTTTTAGGAGAAGATATTTCCTTTTCCAACACAGTCCTCCAAGCCCGCTAAATAGCCACTTGCACATTGTAGAAAAAGTGTGTCAAAGCTGCGCTATCAAAGGGAAAGTTCAACTCTGTGAGGTGAATGCAAACATCCCAAAGAAGTTTCTGAGAATGCTTCCGTTTAGCTTTTAGGTGAAGATTATCCCGTTTCCAACGAAACCTTCAAAGAGGTCCAAATATCCCCTTGCGGATCCCACAGAAAGAGTGTTTCGAAACTGCTGTTTCAAAAGGAAAATCAACTCTGTGAGTTGAATGCAATCATCACAAAGAAGTTTCTGACAATGCTTCTCTCTCGTCTTTCTGTGAACATAAAGGAAAAGGCGTTCAGGCCTTTGCCACCACAGGCCTGAAAGCGCTCCAAATGTCCACTTGCAGATTCTGCCAAAAGAATATTTCAAAACTGCTCTATGAAAAGCAATGTTAAACTCTGTGGCTCGAAAACAAACATCACAAAGCGGTCTCTGAGAATGCTTCAGTTTAGTTTTTCTGTGGAAATATTCCCCTTTCCAAAGAAATCTTCAAAGAGGTCCACGTATCCACTTACAGATTCTACAAAAAGACAGTTTCAAAACTGCTCAAACAAAAGGCGGGTTCAACTGTGTGACTTGAATGCAATCATCACTCAGAAGTTTCTGAGAATGCTTCTCTTTAGTTTTTACGTGAACATATACCCGTTTCGAACGAAGGCCACCCAGTGGTCCAAATATCCACTTGCAGATTCTACAGAAAGAGTGTTTCGAACCTGAACTCTCAAAGGCAGGTTCATCTCTGCGAGTTAAATGCATTCATCATGAAGAACTTTCTCAGAGTGTTTGTGTTTAGTTATGGGAAATTATTCCCGTTTCCAACGAAATCCTCCGAGAGGTCCAAATATCCACCTGCAGATTCTACCAAAAGTGTATTTGGAAACTGCTCCATCAAAAGGCATGTTCAGCTCTGTGAGTGAAACTCCATCATCACAAAGAATATTCTGAGAATGCTTCCGTTTGCCTTTTATATGAAGTTCCTTCCTATACTACCGTAGGCCTCAAAGCAGTCCAAATCTCCATTTGCAGATTCTACAAAAAGAGTGATTCCAATCTGCTCTATCAATAGGATTGTTCAACTCCATGAGTTGAATGCCTTCCTCACAAAGTCGTTTCTGAGAATGCTTCTATCTAGTTTTTATGTGAAGATATTTCCTTTTCCACCACAGGACTCAAAGCCCTCCAAACATCCACTTGCAGATTCTCGAAAAAGAGTGTTTCATAGCTGCTCTTTCAAAAGGAAAGTTCAACTCTGGGAGTTGAATACAAACATCACAAAGTAGTTTCCGAGAATGCTTCTGTTTAGTTCTTATGTGAAGATGATCCCGTTTCCAGTGAAATCTTCAAAGAGGTCCACATATCCCCTTGCAGATTCCAAAGAAAGAGGGTTTCAAAACTGCTCCATCAAAAGGATTGTTCAACTCTGTGAGTTGAATGCAGTCATCGCAGAAAACTTTCTGAGAATGCTTCTGTCTAGGTTTAATGTGAAGATATAGACGTTTCAAACGAAGGCTACAAAGTGGTCAAAATATACACTTGCAGATTCTACTACAAGGGTGTTGCAAACCTGAACTATCAAAGGAAGGTTCAACTCTGTGAGTTGAATACAAACATCACAAAGAATGTTCTGAGTTTGCTTCCGTTCAGTTATGGGAAGTTGATCCCGTTTGCAACGAAATCCTCAGAGAGGTCCAAATATCCCCTTGCAGATTCTGCAAAACGTGTGTTTGGAAACTGCTCCATCATAACGAATGTTCAGCTCTCTGAGTTAAACTCCATCGTCACAAAGAATTTTCTGAGAGTGCTACCGTCTAGTTTTTATATGAAGTTCTTTCCTTTACTACCACAGGCCTCAAAGCGGTCCAAATCTCCACTTGCAGATTCTACAAAAAGAGTGTTTGCAAACTGCTCTATCAAAAGGAATGTTCAACTCTGGGAGTTGAATGCAATCATCACAGAGCAGTTCCTGAGAATGCTTCTATGTCGTTTTTAGGAGAAGATATTTCCTTTTCCACCACAGTCCTCCAAGCCCACTAAATATCCACTTGCACATTGCAGAAAAAGTGTGTCGAAGCTGCGCTATCAAAGGGAAAGTTCAACTCTGTGAGGTGAATGCAAACATCCCAAAGAAGTTTCTGAGAATGCTTCCGTTTAGCTTTTAGGTGAAGATTATCCCGTTTCCAACGAAATCTTCAAAGAGGTCCAAATATCCCCTTGCGGATCCCACAGAAAGAGTGTTTCGAAACTGCTGTTTCAAAAGGAATCTTCAACTCTGTGAGTTGAATGCAATCATCACAAAGAAGTTTCTGACAATGCTTCTCTCTCGTCTTTCTGTGAAGATAAAGGAAAAGGCTTTCAGGCCTTTTCCACCACAGGCCTGAAAGAGCTCCAAATGTCCACTTGCAGATTCTGCGAAAAGAATATTTCAAAACTGCTCTATGAGAAGCAATGTTAAACTCTGTGGCTCGAACACAAACATCACAAAGCAGTTTCTGAGAATGCTTCCGTTTAGTTTTTCTGTGGAAATATTCCCGTTTCGAAAGACATCTTCAAGGAGGTCCACGTATCCACTTACAGATTCTACAAAAAGACAGTTTCAAAACTGCTCAATCAAAAGGAGGGTTCAACCATGTGACTTGAAAGCGATCATCACTCAGAAGTTTCTGAGAATGCTTCTCTTTAGTTTTTACGTGAACATATACCCGTTTCGAACGAAGGCCACCCAGTGGTCCAAATATCCACTTGTCAGATTCTACAGAAAGAGGTGTTTCGAACCTGAACTCTCAAAGGCAGCTTCATCTCTGCGAGTTCAATGCATTCATCATGAAGAACTTTCTCAGCGTGTTTGTGTTTAGTTATGGGAAATTATTCCCGTTTCCAACGAAATCCTCAGAGAGGTCCAAATATCCACCTGCAGATTCTACCAAAAGTGTATTTGGAAACTGCTCCATCAAAAGGCATGTTCAGCTCTGTGAGTGAAACTCCATCATCACAAAGAATATTCTGAGAATGCTTCCGTTTGCCTTTTATATGAAGTTCCTTCCTATACTACCGTAGGCCTCAAAGCAGTCCAAATCTCCATTTGCAGATTCTACAAAAAGAGTGATTCCAATCTGCTCTATCAATAGGATTGTTGAACTCCATGATTTGAATGCCATCCTCACAAATTCGTTTGTGAGAATGCTTTCTATCTAGTTTTTATGTGAAGATATTTCCTTTTCCACCACAGGCCTCAAAGCCCTCCAAACGTCCACTTGCAGATTCTCGAAAAAGAGTGTTTCATAGCTGCTCTTTCAAAAGGAAAGTTCAACTCTGGGAGTTGAATACAAACATCACAAAGTAGTTTCCGAGAATGCTTCTGTTTAGTTCTTATGTGAAGATGATCCCGTTTCCAGTGAAATCTTCAAAGAGGTCCACATATCCCATTGCAGATTCCAAAGAAAGAGGGTTTCAAAACTGCTCCATCAAAAGGATTGTTCAAATCTGTGAGTTGAATGCAGTCATCGCAGAAAACTTTCTGAGAATGCTTCTGTCTAGGTTTGATGTGAAGATATAGACTTTTCAAACGAAGGCTACTAAGTGGTCAAAATATACACTTGCAGATTCTACTACAAGGGTGATGCAAACCTCAACTATCAAAGGAAGGTTCAACTCTGTGAGTTGAATACAAACATCACAAAGAATGTTCTGAGTTTGCTTCCGTTCAGTTATGGGAAGTTGATCCCGTTTCCAACGAAATCCTCAGAGAGGTCCAAATATCCCCTTGCAGATTCTACAAAACGTGTGTTTGGAAACTGCTCCATCATAACGAATGTTCAGCTCTCTGAGTTAAACTCCATCGTCACAAATAATTTTCTGAGAGTGCTACCGTCTGGTTTTTATATGAAGTTCTTTCCTTCACTACCACAGGCCTCAAAGCGGTCCAAATCTCCACTTGCAGATTCTACAAAAAGAGTGTTTGCAAACTGCTCTATCAAAAGGAATGTTCAACTCTGGGAATTGAATGCAATCATCACAGAGCAGTTTCTGAGAATGCTTCTATGTCGTTTTTAGGAGAAGATATTTCCTTTTCCAACACAGTCCTCCAAGCCCGCTAAATAGCCACTTGCACATTGTAGAAAAAGTGTGTCAAAGCTGCGCTATCAAAGGGAAAGTTCAACTCTGTGAGGTGAATGCAAACATCCCAAAGAAGTTTCTGAGAATGCTTCCGTTTAGCTTTTAGGTGAGGATTATCCCGTTTCCAACGAAACCTTCAAAGAGGTCCAAATATCCCCTTGCGGATCCCACAGAAAGAGTGTTTCGAAACTGCTGTTTCAAAAGGAATCTTCAACTCTGTGAGTTGAATGCAATCATCACAAAGAAGTTTCTGACAATGCTTCTCTCTCGTCTTTCTGTGAAGATAAAGGAAAAGGCTTTCAGGCCTTTTCCACCACAGGCCTGAAAGCGCTCCAAATGTCCACTTGCAGATTCTGCGAAAAGAATATTTCAAAACTGCTCTATGAAAAGCAATGTTAAACTCTGTGGCTCGAACACAAACATCACAAAGCGGTTTCTGAGAATGCTTCAGTTTAGTTTTTCTGTGGAAATATTCCCGTTTCCAAAGAAATCTTCAAAGATGTCCACGTGTCCTCTTACAGATTCTACAAAAAGACAGTTTCAAAACTGCTCAATCAAAAGGAGGGTTCAACCGTGTGACTTGAATGCAATCATCACTCAGAAGTTTCTGAGAATGCTTCTCTTTAGTTTTTACGTGAACATATACCCGTTTCGAACGAAGGCCAGCCAGTGGTCCAAATATCCACTTGCAGATTCTACAGAAAGAGTGTTTCGAACCTGAACTCTCAAAGGCAGGTTCATCTCTGCGAGTTCAATGCATTCATCATGAAGAACTTTCTCAGAGTGTTTGTGTTTAGTTATGGGAAATTATTCCCGTTTCCAACGAAATCCTCAGAGAGGTCCAAATATCCACCTGCAGATTCTACCAAAAGTGTATTTGGAAACTGCTCCATCAAAAGGCATGTTCAGCTCTGTGAGTGAAACTCCATCATCACAAAGAATATTCTGAGAATGCTTCCGTTTGCCTTTTATATGAAGTTCCTTCCCATACTACCGTAGGCCTCAAAGCAGTCCAAATCTCCATTTGCAGATTCTACAAAAAGAGTGATTCCAATCTGCTCTATCAATAGGATTGTTCAACTCCATGAGTTGAATGCCATCGTCACAAAGTAGTTTCTGAGAATGCTTCTATCTAGTTTTTATGTGAAGATATTTCCTTTTCCACCACAGGCCTCAAAGCCCTCCAAACGTCCACTTGCAGATTCTCGAAAAAGAGTGTTTCATAGCTGCTCTTTCAAAAGGAAAGTTCAACTCTGGGAGTTGAATACAAACATCACAAAGTAGTTTCCGAGAATGCTTCTGTTTAGTTTTTATGTGAAGATGATCCCGTTTCCAGTGAAATCTTCAAAGAGGTCCACATATCCCCTTGCAGATTCCAAAGAAAGAGGGTTTCAAAACTGCTCCATCAGAAGGATTGTTCAACTCTGTGAGTTGAATGCAGTCATCGCAGAAAACTTTCTGAGAATGCTTCTGTCTAGGTTTGATGTGAAGATATAGACGTTTCAAACGAAGGCTACAAAGTGGTCAAAATATACACTTGCAGATTCTACTACAAGGGTGTTGCAAACCTGAACTATCAAAGGAAGGTTCAACTCTGTGAGTTGAATACAAACATCACAAAGAATGTTCTGAGTTTGCTTCCGTTCAGTTATGGGAAGTTGATCCCGTTTCCAACCAAATCCTCAGAGAGGTCCAAATATCCCCTTGCAGATTCTACAAAACGTGTGTTTGGAAACTGCTCCATCATAACGAATGTTCAGCTCCCTGAGTTAAACTCCATCGTCACAAAGAATTTTCTGAGAGTGCTACCGTCTGGTTTTTATATGAAGCTCTTTCCTTCACTACCACAGGCCTCAAAGCGGTCCAAATCTCCACTTGCAGATTCTACAAAAAGAGTGTTTGCAAACTGCTCTATCAAAAGGAATGTTCAACTCTGGGAGTTGAATGCAATCATCACAGAGCAGTTTCTGAGAATGCTTCTATGTCGTTTTTAGGAGAAGATATTTCCTTTTCCAACACAGTCCTCCAAGCCCGCTAAATAGCCACTTGCACATTGTAGAAAAAGTGTGTCAAAGCTGCGCTATCAAAGGGAAAGTTCAACTCTGTGAGGTGAATGCAAACATCCCAAAGAAGTTTCTGAGAATGCTTCCGTTTAGCTTTTAGGTGAAGATTATCCCGTTTCCAACGAAACCTTCAAAGAGGTCCAAATATCCCCTTGCGGATCCCACAGAAAGAGTGTTTCGAAACTGCTGTTTCAAAAGGAATCTTCAACTCTGTGAGTTGAATGCAATCATCACAAAGAAGTTTCTGACAATGCTTCTCTCTCGTCTTTCTGTGAAGATAAAGGAAAAGGCTTTCAGGCCTTTTCCACCACAGGCCTGAAAGCGCTCCAAATGTCCACTTGTAGATTCTGCCAAAAGAATATTTCAAAACTGCTCTATGAAAAGCAATGTTAAACTCTGTGGCTCGAACACAAACATCACAAAGCAGTTTCTGAGAATGCTTCAGTTTAGTTTTTCTGTGGAAATATTCCCGTTTCCAAAGAAATCTTCAAAGAGGTCCACGTATCCACTTACAGATTCTACAAAAAGACAGTTTCAAAACTGCTCCATCAAAAGGAGGGTTCAACTGTGTGACTTGAATGCAATCATCACTCAGAAGTTTCTGAGAATGCTTCTCTTTAGTTTTTACGTGAACATATACCCGTTTCGAACGAAGGCCACCCAGTGGTCCAAATATCCACTTGCAGATTCTACAGAAAGAGTGTTTCGAACCTGAACTCTCAAAGGCAGGTTCATCTCTGCGAGTTAAATGCATTCATCATGAAGAACTTTCTCAGAGTGTTTGTGTTTAGTTATGGGAAATTATTCCCGTTTCCAACGAAATCCTCAGAGAGCTCCAAATATCCACCTGCAGATTCTACCAAAAGTGTATTTGGAAACTGCTCCAACAAAAGGCATGTTAAGCTCTGTGAGTGAAACTCCATCATCACAAAGAATATTCTGAGAATGCTTCCGTTTGCCTTTTATATGAAGTTCCTTCCTATACTACCGTAGGCCTCAAAGCAGTCCAAATCTCCATTTGCAGATTCTACAAAAAGAGTGATTCCAATCTGCTCTATCAATAGGATTGTTCAACTCCATGAGTTGAATGCCATCCTCACAAAGTAGTTTCTGAGAATGCTTCTATCTGGTTTTTGTGTGAAGATATTTCCTTTTCCACCACAGGCCTCAAAGCCCTCCAAACGTCCACTTGCAGATTCTCGAAAAAGAGTGTTTCATAGCTGCTCTTTCAAAAGGAAAGTTCAACTCTGGGAGTTGAATACAAACATCACAAAATAGCTTCCGAGATTGCTTCTGTTTAGTTTTTATGTGAAGATGATCCCGTTTCCAGTGAAATCTTCAAAGAGGTCCACATATCCCCTTGCAGATTCCAAAGAAAGAGGGTTTCAAAACTGCTCCATCAAAAGGATTGTTCAACTCTGTGAGTTGAATGCAGTCATCGCAGAAAACTTTCTGAGAATGCTTCTTTCTAGGTTTGATGTGAAGATATAGACGTTTCAAACGAAGGCTACAAAGTGGTCAAAATATACACTTGCAGATTCTACTACAAGGGTGTTGCAAACCTGAACTATCAAAGGAAGGTTCAACTCTGTGAGTTGAATACAAACATCACAAAGAATGTTCTGAGTTTGCTTCCGTTCAGTTATGGGAAGTTGATCCCGTTTCCAACGAAATCCTCAGAGAGGTCCAAATATCCCCTTGCAGATTCTACAAAACGTGTGTTTGGAAACTGCTCCATCATAACGAATGTTCAGCTCCCTGAGTTAAACTCCATCGTCACAAAGAATTTTCTGAGAGTGCTACCGTCTGGTTTTTATATGAAGTTCTTTCCTTTACTACCATAGGCCTCAAAGCGGTCCAAATCTCCACTTGCAGATTCTACAAAAAGAGTGTTTGCAAACTGCTCTATCAAAAGGAATGTTCAACCCTGGGAGTTGAATGCAATCATCACAGAGCAGTTTCTGAGAATGCTTCTATGTCGTTTTTAGGAGAAGATATTTCCTTTTCCAACACAGTCCTCCAAGCCCGCTAAATAGCCACTTGCACATTGTAGAAAAAGTGTGTCAAAGCTGCGCTATCAAAGGGAAAGTTCAACTCTGTGAGGTGAATGCAAACATCCCAAAGAAGTTTCTGAGAGTGCTTCCGTTTAGCTTTTAGGTGAAGATTATCCCGCTTCCAACGAAACCTTCAAAGAGGTCCAAATATCCCCTTGCGGATCCCTCAGAAAGAGTGTTTCGAAACTGCTGTTTCAAAAGGAATCTTCAACTCTGTGAGTTGAATGCAATCATCACAAAGAAGTTTCTGACAATGCTTCTCTCTCGTCTTTCTGTGAAGATAAAGGAAAAGGCTTTCAGGCCTTTTCCACCACAGGCCTGAAAGCGCTCCAAATGTCCACTTGCAGATTCTGCGAAAAGAATATTTCAAAACTGCTCTATGAAAAGCAATGTTAAACTCTGTGGCTCGAACACAAACATCACAAAGCAGTTTCTGAGAATGCTTCAGTTTAGTTTTTCTGTGGAAATATTCCCGTTTCCAAAGAAATCTTCAAAGAGGTCCACGTATCCACTTACAGATTCTACAAAAAGACAGTTTCAAAACTGCTCCATCAAAAGGAGGGTTCAACTGTGTGACTTGAATGCAATCATCACTCAGAAGTTTCTGAGAATGCTTCTCTTTAGTTTTTACGTGAACATATACCCGTTTCGAACGAAGGCCACCCAGTGGACCAAATATCCACTTGCAGATTCTACAGAAAGAGTGTTTCGAACCTGAACTCTCAAAGGAAGGTTCATCTCTGCGAGTTAAATGCATTCATCATGAAGAACTTTCTCAGCGTGTTTGTGTTTAGTTATGGGAAATTATTCCCGTTTCCAAAGAAATCCTCAGAGAGCTCCAAATATCCACCTGCAGATTCTACCAAAAGTGTATTTGGAAACTGCTCCATCAAAAGGCATGTTCAGCTCTGTGAGTGAAACTCCATCATCACAAAGAATATTCTGAGAATGCTTCCGTTTGCCTTTTATATGAAGTTCCTTCCTGTACTACCGTAGGCCTCAAAGCAGTCCAAATCTCCATTTGCAGATTCTACAAAAAGAGTGATTCCAATCTGCTCTATCAATAGGATTGTTCAACTCCATGAGTTGAATGCCATCCTCACAAAGTAGTTTCTGAGAATGCTTCTATCTGGTTTTTGTGTGAAGATATTTCCTTTTCCACCACAGGCCTCAAAGCCCTCCAAACGTCCACTTGCAGATTCTCGAAAAAGAGTGTTTCATAGCTGCTCTTTCAAAAGGAAAGTTCAACTCTGGGAGTTGAATAGAAACATCACAAAATAGTTTCCGAGAATGCTTCAGTTTAGTTTTTATGTGAAGATGATCCCGTTTCCAGTGAAATCTTCAAAGAGGTCCACATATCCCCTTGCAGATTCCAAAGAAAGAGGGTTTCAAAACTGCTCCATCAGAAGGATTGTTCAACTCTGTGAGTTGAATGCAGTCATCGCAGAAAACTTTCTGAGAATGCTTCTGTCTAGGTTTGATGTGAAGATATAGACGTTTCAAACGAAGGCTACAAAGTGGTCAAAATATACACTTGCAGATTCTACTACAAGGGTGTTGCAAACCTGAACTATCAAAGGAAGGTTCAACTCTGTGAGTTGAATACAAACATCACAAAGAATGTTCTGAGTTTGCTTCCGTTCAGTTATGGGAAGTTGATCCCGTTTCCAACGAAATCCTCAGAGAGGTCCAAATATCCCCTCGCAGATTCTACAAAACATGTGTTTGGAAACTGCTCCATCATAACGAATGTTCAGCTCCCTGAGTTAAACTCCATCGTCACAAAGAATTTTCTGAGAGTGCTACCGTCTGGTTTTTATATGAAGTTCTTTCCTTCACTACCACAGGCCTCAAAGCGGTCCAAATCTCCACTTGCAGATTCTACAAAAAGAGTGTTTGCAAACTGCTCTATCAAAAGGAATGTTCAACTCTGGGAGTTGAATGCAATCATCACAGAGCAGTTTCTGAGAATGCTTCTATGTCGTTTTTAGGAGAAGATATTTCCTTTTCCAACACAGTCCTCCAAGCCCGCTAAATAGCCACTTGCACATTGTAGAAAAAGTGTGTCAAAGCTGCGCTATCAAAGGGAAAGTTCAACTCTGTGAGGTGAATGCAAACATCCCAAAGAAGTTTCTGAGAATGCTTCCGTTTAGCTTTTAGGTGAAGATTATCCCGTTTCCAACGAAACCTTCAAAGAGGTCCAAATATCCCCTTGCGGATCCCACAGAAAGAGTGTTTCGAAACTGCTGTTTCAAAAGGAATCTTCAACTCTGTGAGTTGAATGCAATCATCACAAAGAAGTTTCTGACAATGCTTCTCTCTCGTCTTTCTGTGAAGATAAAGGAAAAGGCTTTCAGGCCTTTGCCACCACAGGCCTGAAAGCGCTCCAAATGTCCACTTGCAGATTCTGCCAAAAGAATATTTCAAAACTGCTCTATGAAAAGCAATGTTAAACTCTGCGGCTCGAACACAAACATCACAAAGCGGTTTCTGAGAATGCTTCAGTTTAGTTTTTCTGTGGAAATATTCCCGTTTCCAAAGAAATCTTCAAAGAGGTCCACGTATCCACTTACAGATTCTACAAAAAGACAGTTTCAAAACTGCTCCATCAAAAGGAGGGTTCAACTGTGTGACTTGAATGCAATCATCACTCAGAAGTTTCTGAGAATGCTTCTCTTTAGTTTTTACGTGAACATATACCCGTTTCGAACGAAGGCCAGCCAGTGGTCCAAATATCCACTTGCAGATTCTACAGAAAGAGTGTTTCGAACCTGAACTCTCAAAGGCAGGTTCATCTCTGCGAGTTAAATGCATTCATCATGAAGAACTTTCTCAGAGTGTTTGTGTTTAGTTATGGGAAATTATTCCCGTTTCCAAAGAAATCCTCAGAGAGCTCCAAATATCCACCTGCAGATTCTACCAAAAGTGTATTTGGAAACTGCTCCATCAAAAGGCATGTTCAGCTCTGTGAGTGAAACTCCATCATCACAAAGAATATTCTGAGAATGCTTCCGTTTGCCTTTTATATGAAGTTCCTTCCTATACGACCGTAGGCCTCAAAGCAGTCCAAATCTCCATTTGCAGATTCTACAAAAAGAGTGATTCCAATCTGCTCTATCAATAGGATTGTTCAACTCCATGAGTTGAATGCCATCCTCACAAAGTCGTTTCTGAGAATGCTTCTATCTAGTTTTTATGTGAAGATATTTCCTTTTCCACCACAGGCCTCAAAGCCCTCCAAACGTCCACTTGCAGATTCTCGAAAAAGAGTGTTTCATAGCTGCTCTTTCAAAAGGAAAGTTCAACTCTGGGAGTTGAATACAAACATCACAAAGTAGTTTCCGAGAATGCTTCTGTTTAGTTTTTATGTGAAGATGATCCCGTTTCCAGTGAAATCTTCAAAGAGGTCCACATATCCCCTTGCAGATTCCAAAGAAAGAGGGTTTCAAAACTGCTCCATCAGAAGGATTGTTCAACTCTGTGAGTTGAATGCAGTCATCGCAGAAAACTTTCTGAGAATGCTTCTGTCTAGGTTTGATGTGAAGATATAGACGTTTCAAACGAAGGCTACAAAGTGGTCAAAATATACACTTGCAGATTCTACTACAAGGGTGTTGCAAACCTGAACTATCAAAGGAAGGTTCAACTCTGTGAGTTGAATACAAACATCACAAAGAATGTTCTGAGTTTGCTTCCGTTCAGTTATGGGAAGTTGATCCCGTTTCCAACGAAATCCTCAGAGAGGTCCAAATATCCCCTTGCAGATTCTACAAAACGTGTGTTTGGAAACTGCTCCATCATAACGAATGTTCAGCTCTCTGAGTTAAACTCCATCGTCACAAAGAATTTTCTGAGACTGCTACCGTCTACTTTTTATATGAAGTTCTTTCCTTTACTACCACAGGCCTCAAAGCGGTCCAAATCTCCACTTGCAGATTCTACAAAAAGAGTGTTTGCAAATTGCTCTATCAAAAGGAATGTTCAACTCTGGGAGTTGAATGCAATCATCACAGAGCAGTTTCTGAGAATGCTTCTATGTCGTTTTTAGGAGAAGATATTTCCTTTTCCAACACAGTCCTCCAAGCCCGCTAAATATCCACTTGCACATTGTAGAAAAAGTGTGTCGAAGCTGCGCTATCAAAGGGAAAGTTCAACTCTGTGAGGTGAATGCAAACATCCCAAAGAAGTTTCTGAGAATGCTTCCGTTTAGCTTTTAGGTGAAGATTATCCCGTTTCCAACGAAATCTTCAAAGAGGTCCAAATATCCCCTTGCGGATCCCACAGAAAGAGTGTTTCGAAACTGCTGTTTCAAAAGGAATCTTCAACTCTGTGAGTTGAATGCAATCATCACAAAGAAGTTTCTGACAATGCTTCTCTCTCGTCTTTCTGTGAAGATAAAGGAAAAGGCTTTCAGGCCTTTTCCACCACAGGCCTGAAAGCGCTCCAAATGTCCACTTGCAGATTCTGCCAAAAGAATATTTCAAAACTGCTCTATGAAAAGCAATGTTAAACTCTGCGGCTCGAACACAAACATCACAAAGCAGTTTCTGAGAATGCTTCAGTTTAGTTTTTCTGTGGAAATATTCCCGTTTCCAAAGAAATCTTCAAAGAGGTCCACGTACCCGCTTACAGATTCTACAAAAAGACAGTTTCAAAACTGCTCAATCAAAAGGAGGGTTCAACCGTGTGACTTGAATGCAATCATCACGCAGAAGTTTCTGAGAATGCTTCTCTTTAGTTTTTACGTGAACATATACCCGTTTCGAATGAAGGCCACCCAGTGGTCCAAATATCCACTTGCAGATTCTACAGAAAGAGTGTTTCGAACCTGAACTCTCAAAGGCAGGTTCATCTCTGCGAGTTCAATGCATTCATCATGAAGAACTTTCTCAGAGTGTTTGTGTTTAGGTATGGGAAATTATTCCCGTTTCCAACGAAATCCTCAGAGAGGTCCAAATATCCACCTGCAGATTCTACCAAAAGTGTATTTGGAAACTGCTCCATCAAAAGGCATGTTCAACTCTGTGAGTCAAACTCCATCATCACAAAGAATATTCTGAGAATGCTTCCGTTTGCCTTTTATATGAAGTTCCTTCCTATACTACCGTAGGCCTCAAAGCAGTCCAAATCTCCATTTGCAGATTCTACCAAAAGAGTGATTCCAATCTGCTCTATCAATAGGATTGTTCAACTCCATGAGTTGAATGCCATCCTCACAAAGTCGTTTCTGAGAATGCTTCTATCTAGTTTTTATGTGAAGATATTTCCTTTTCCACCACAGGCCTCAAAGCCCTCCAAACGTCCACTTGCAGATTCTCGAAAAAGAGTGTTTCATAGCTGCTCTTTCAAAAGGAAAGTTCAACTCTGGGAGTTGAATACAAACATCACAAAGTAGTTTCCGAGAATGCTTCTGTTTAGTTCTTATGTGAAGATGATCCCGTTTCCAGTGAAATCTTCAAAGAGGTCCACATATCCCCTTGCAGATTCCAAAGAAAGAGGGTTTCAAAACTGCTCCATCAAAAGGATTGTTCAAATCTGTGAGTTGAATGCAGTCATCGCAGAAAACTTTCTGAGAATGCTTCTGTCTAGGTTTGAGGTGAAGATATAGACGTTTCAAACGAAGGCTACAAAGTGGTCAAAATATACACTTGCAGATTCTACTACAAGGGTGTTGCAAACCTGAACTATCAAAGGAAGGTTCAACTCTGTGAGTTGAATACAAACATCACAAAGAATGTTCTGAGTTTGCTTCCGTTCAGTTATGGGAAGTTGATCCCGTTTCCAACGAAATCCTCAGAGAGGTCCAAATATCCCCTTGCAGATTCTACAAAACGTGTGTTTGGAAACTGCTCCATCATAACGAATGTTCAGCTCTCTGAGTTAAACTCCATCGTCACAAAGAATTTTCTGAGAGTGCTACCGTCTGGTTTTTATATGAAGTTCTTTCCTTTACTACCACAGGCCTCAAAGCGGTCCAAATCTCCACTTGCAGATTCTACAAAAAGAGTGTTTGCAAACTGCTCTATCAAAAGGAATGTTCAACTCTGGGAGTTGAATGCAATCATCACAGAGCAGTTTCTGAGAATGCTTCTATGTCGTTTTTAGGAGAAGATATTTCCTTTTCCAACACAGTCCTCCAAGCCCGCTAAATATCCACTTGCACATTGTAGACAAAGTGTGTCGAAGCTGCGCTATCAAAGGGAAAGTTCAACTCTGTGAGGTGAATGCAAACATCCCAAAGAAGTTTCTGAGAATGCTTCCTTTCAGCTTTTAGGTGAAGATTATCCCGTTTCCAACGAAATCTTCAAAGAGGTCCAAATATCCCCTTGCAGATCCCACAGAAAGAGTGTTTCGAAACTGCTGTTTCAAAAGGAATCTTCAACTCTGTGAGTTGAATGCAATCATCACAAAGAAGTTTCTGACAATGCTTCTCCCTCGTCTTTCTGTGAAGATAAAGGAAAAGGCTTTCAGGCCTTTTCCACCACAGGCCTGAAAGTGCTCCAAATGTCCACTTGCAGATTCTGCCAAAAGAATATTTCAAAACTGCTCTATGAAAAGCAATGTTAAACTCTGCGGCTCGAACACAAACATCACAAAGCAGTTTCTGAGAATGCTTCAGTTTAGTTTTTCTGTGGAAATATTCCCGTTTCCAAAGAAATCTTCAAAGAGGTCCACGTATCCACTTACAGAATCTACAAAAAGACAGTTTCAAAACTGCTCAATCAAAAGGAGGGTTCAACTGTGTGACTTGAATGCAATCATCACTCAGAAGTTTCTGAGAATGCTTATCTTTAGTTTTTACGTGAACATATACCCGTTTCGAACGAAGGCCACCCAGTGGTCCAAATATCCACTTGCAGATTCTACAGAAAGAGTGTTTCGAACCTGAACTCTCAAAGGCAGGTTCATCTCTGCGAGTTAAATGCATTCATCATGAAGAACTTTCTCAGAGTGTTTGTGTTTAGTTATGGGAAATTATTCCCGTTTCCAACGAAATCCTCAGAGAGGTCCAAATGTCCACCTGCAGATTCTACCAAAAGTGTATTTGGAAACTGCTCCATCAAAAGGCATGTTCAGCTCTGTGAGTGAAACTCCATCATCACAAAGAATATTCTGAGAATGCTTCCGTTTGCCTTTTATATGAAGTTCCTTCCTATACGACCGTAGGCCTCAAAGCAGTCCAAATCTCCATTTGCAGATTCTACAAAAAGAGTGATTCCAATCTGCTCTATCAATAGGATTGTTCAACTCCATGAGTTGAATGCCATCCTCACAAAGTCGTTTCTGAGAATGCTTCTATCTAGTTTTTATGTGAAGATATTTCCTTTTCCACCACAGGCCTCAAAGCCCTCCAAACGTCCACTTGCAGATTCTCGAAAAAGAGAGTTTCATAGCTGCTCTTTCAAAAGGAAAGTTCAACTCTGGGAGTTGAATACAAACATCACAAAGTAGTTTCCGAGAATGCTTCTGTTTAGTTTTTATGTGAAGATGATCCCGTTTCCAGTGAAATCTTCAAAGAGGTCCACATATCCCCTTGCAGATTCCAAAGAAAGTGGGTTTCAAAACTGCTCCATCAGAAGGATTGTTCAACTCTGTGAGTTGAATGCAGTCATCGCAGAAAACTTTCTGAGAATGCTTCTGTCTAGGTTTGATGTGAAGATATAGACGTTTCAAACGAAGGCTACAAAGTGGTCAAAATATACACTTGCAGATTCTACTACAAGGGTGTTGCAAACCTGAACTATCAAAGGAAGGTTCAACCCTGTGAGTTGAATACAAACATCACAAAGAATGTTCTGAGTTTGCTTCCGTTCAGTTATGGGAAGTTGATCCCGTTTCCAACGAAATCCTCAGAGAGGTCCAAATATCCCCTTGCAGATTCTACAAAACGTGTGTTTGGAAACTGCTCCATCATAACGAATGTTCAGCTCCCTGAGTTAAACTCCATCGTCACAAAGAATTTTCTGAGAGTGCTACCGTCTGGTTTTTATATGAAGCTCTTTCCTTCACTACCACAGGCCTCAAAGCGGTCCAAATCTCCACTTGCAGATTCTACAAAAAGAGTGTTTGCAAACTGCTCTATCAAAAGGAACGTTCAACTCTGGGAGTTGAATGCAATCATCACAGAGCAGTTTCTGAGAATGCTTCTATGTCGTTTTTAGGAGAAGATATTTCCTTTTCCAACACAGTCCTCCAAGCCCGCTAAAGAGCCACTTGCACATTGTAGAAAAAGTGTGTCAAAGCTGCGCTATCAAAGGGAAAGTTCAACTCTGTGAGGTGAAAGCAAACATCCCAAAGAAGTTTATGAGAATGCTTCCGTTTAGCTTTTAGGTGAAGATTATCCCGTTTCCAACGAAACCTTCAAAGAGGTCCAAATATCCCCTTGCGGATCCCACAGAAAGAGTGTTTCGAAACTGCTGTTTCAAAAGGAATCTTCAACTCTGAGTTGAATGCAATCATCACAAAGAAGTTTCTGACAATGCTTCTCTCTCGTCTTTCTGTGAAGATAAAGGAAAAGGCTTTCAGGCCTTTTCCACCACAGGCCTGAAAGCGCTCCAAATGTCCACTTGCAGATTCTGCCAAAAGAATATTTCAAAACTGCTCTATGAAAAGCAATGTTAAACTCTGTGGCTCGAACACAAACATCACAAAGCGGTTTCTGAGAATGCTTCAATTTAGTTTTTCTGTGGAAATATTCCCGTTTCCAAAGAAATCTTCAAAGAGGTCCACGTATCCACTTACAGATTCTACAAAAAGACAGTTTCAAAACTGCTCAATCAAAAGGAGGGTTCAACCGTGTGACTTGAATGCAATCATCACTCAGAAGTTTCTGAGAACG
This sequence comes from Homo sapiens, assembly GCF_000001405.40. Taxonomy (NCBI): domain Eukaryota; kingdom Metazoa; phylum Chordata; class Mammalia; order Primates; family Hominidae; genus Homo; species Homo sapiens. The sequence continues at coordinate 60,446,254 of NC_000023.11, read as the reverse complement.
CTTCTGTTTAGTTTTTACGTGAACATATAGCCGTTTCGAACGAAGGCCACCCAGTGGTCCAAATATCCACTTGCAGATTCTACAGAAAGAGTGTTTCGAACCTGAACTCTCAAAGGCAGGTTCATCTCTGCGAGTTCAATGCATTCATCATGAAGAACTTTCTCAGCGTGTTTGTGTTTAGTTATGGGAAATTATTCCCGTTTCCAACGAAATCCTCAGAGAGCTCCAAATATCCACCTGCAGATTCTACCAAAAGTGTATTTGGAAACTGCTCCATCAAAAGGCATGTTCAGCTCTGTGAGTGAAACTCCATCATCACAAAAATATTCTGAGAATGCTTCCGTTTGCCTTTTATATGAAGTTCCTTCCTATACTACCGTAGGCCTCAAAGCAGTCCAAATCTCCATTTGCAGATTCTACAAAAAGAGTGATTCCAATCTGCTCTATCAATAGGATTGTTCAACTCCATGAGTTGAATGCCATCCTCACAAAGTCGTTTCTGAGAATGCTTCTATCTAGTTTTTATGTGAAGATATTTCCTTTTCCACCACAGGCCTCAAAGCCCTCCAAACGTCCACTTGCAGATTCTCGAAAAAGAGTGTTTCATAGCTGCTCTTTCAAAAGGAAAGTTCAACTCTGGCAGTTGAATACAAACATCACAAAGTAGTTTCCGAGAATGCTTCTGTTTAGTTTTTATGTGAAGATGATCCCGTTTCCAGTGAAATCTTCAAAGAGGTCCACATATCCCCTTGCAGATTCCAAAGAAAGAGGGTTTCAAAACTGCTCCATCAGAAGGATTGTTCAACTCTGTGAGTTGAATGCAGTCATCGCAGAAAACTTTCTGAGAATGCTTCTGTCTAGGTTTGATGTGAAGATATAGACGTTTCAAACGAAGGCTACAACATGGTCAAAATATACACTTGCAGATTCTACTACAAGGGTGTTGCAAACCTGAACTATCAAAGGAAGGTTCAACTCTGTGAATTGAATACAAACATCACAAAGAATGTTCTGAGTTTGCTTCCGTTCAGTTATGGGAAGTTGATCCCGTTTCCAACGAAATCCTCAGAGAGGTCCAAATATCCCCTCGCAGATTCTACAAAACGTGTGTTTGGAAACTGCTCCATCATAACGAATGTTCAGCTCCCTGAGTTAAACTCCATCGTCACAAAGAATTTTCTGAGAGTGCTACCGTCTGGTTTTTATATGAAGTTCTTTCCTTCACTACCACAGGCCTCAAAGCGGTCCAAATCTCCACTTGCAGATTCTACAAAAAGAGTGTTTGCAAACTGCTCTATCAAAAGGAATGTTCAACTCTGGGAGTTGAATGCAATCATCACAGAGCAGTTTCTGAGAATGCTTCTATGTCGTTTTTAGGAGAAGATATTTCCTTTTCCAACACAGTCCTCCAAGCCCGCTAAATAGCCACTTGCACATTGTAGAAAAAGTGTGTCAAAGCTGCGCTATCAAAGGGAAAGTTCAACTCTGTGAGGTGAATGCAAACATCCCAAAGAAGTTTCTGAGAATGCTTCCGTTTAGCTTTTAGGTGAAGATTATCCCGTTTCCAACGAAACCTTCAAAGAGGTCCAAATATCCCCTTGCGGATCCCACAGAAAGAGTGTTTCGAAACTGCTGTTTCAAAAGGAATCTTCAACTCTGTGAGTTGAATGCAATCATCACAAAGAAGTTTCTGACAATGCTTCTCTCTCGTCTTTCTGTGAAGATAAAGGAAAAGGCTTTCAGGCCTTTTCCCACCACAGGCCTGAAAGCGCTCCAAATGTCCACTTGCAGATTCTGTGAAAAGAATATTGCAAAACTGCTCTATGAAAAGCAATGTTAAACTCTGTGGCTCGAACACAAACATCACAAAGCAGTTTCTGAGAATGCTTCAGTATAGTTTTTCTGTGGAAATATTCCCGTTTCCAAAGAAATCTTCAAAGAGGTCCACGCATCCACTTACAGATTCCACAAAAAGACAGTTTCAAAACTGCTCAATCAAAAGGAGGGTTCAACTGTGTGACTTGAATGCAATCATCACTCAGAAGTTTCTGAGAATGCTTCTCTTTAGTTTTTACGTGAACATATACCCGTTTCGAACGAAGGCCACCCAGTGGTCCAAATATCCACTTGCAGATTCTACAGAAAGAGTGTTTCGAACCTGAACTCTCAAAGGCAGGTTCATCTCTGCGAGTTAAATGCATTCATCATGAAGAACTTTCTCAGAGTGTTTGTGTTTAGTTATGGGAAATTATTCCCTTTTCCAAAGAAATCCTCAGAGAGCTCCAAATATCCACCTGCAGATTCTACCAAAAGTGTATTTGGAAACTGCTCCATCAAAAGGCATGTTCAGCTCTGTGAGTGAAACTCCATCATCACAAAGAATATTCTGAGAATGCTTCCGTTTGCCTTTTATATGAAGTTCCTTCCAATACTACCGTAGGCCTCAAAGCAGTCCAAATCTCCATTTGCAGATTCTACAAAAAGAGTGATTCCAATCTGCTCTATCAATAGGATTGTTCAACTCCATGAGTTGAATGCCATCCTCATAAAGTAGTTTCTGAGAATGCTTCTATCTAGTTTTTATGTGAAGATATTTCCTTTTCCACCACAGGCCTCAAAGCCCTCCAAACGTCCACTTGCAGATTCTCGAAAAAGAGTGTTTCATAGCTGCTCTTTCAAAAGGAAAGTTCAACTCTGGGAGTTGAATACAAACATCACAAAGTAGTTTCCGAGAATGCTTCTGTTTAGTTTTTATGTGAAGATGATCCCGTTTCCAGTGAAATCTTCAAAGAGGTCCACATATCCCCTTGCAGATTCCAAAGAAAGAGGGTTTCAAAACTGCTCCATCAGAAGGATTGTTCAACTCTGTGAGTTGAATGCAGTCATCGCAGAAAACTTTCTGAGAATGCTTCTGTCTAGGTTTGATGTGAAGGTATAGACGTTTCAAACGAAGGCTACAAAGTGGTCAAAATATACACTTGCAGATTCTACTACAAGGGTGTTGCAAACCTGAACTATCAAAGGAAGGTTCAACTCTGTGAGTTGAATACAAACATCACAAAGAATGTTCTGAGTTTGCTTCCGTTCAGTTATGGGAAGTTGATCCCGTTTCCAACGAAATCCTCAGAGAGGTCCAAATATCCCCTTGCAGATTCTACAAAACGTGTGTTTGGAAACTGCTCCATCATAACGAATGTTCAGCTCCCTGAGTTAAACTCCATCGTCACAAAGAATTTTCTGAGAGTGCTACCGTCTGGTTTTTATATGAAGTTCTTTCCTTCACTACCACAGGCCTCAAAGCGGTCCAAATCTCCACTTGCAGATTCTACAAAAAGAGTGTTTGCAAACTGCTCTATCAAAAGGAATGTTCAACTCTGGGAGTTGAATGCAATCATCACAGAGCAGTTTCTGAGAATGCTTCTATGTCGTTTTTAGGAGAAGATATTTCCTTTTCCAACACAGTCCTCCAAGCCCGCTAAATAGCCACTTGCACGTTGTAGAAAAAGTGTGTCAAAGCTGCGCTATCAAAGGGAAAGTTCAACTCTGTGAGGTGAATGCAAACATCCCAAAGAAGTTTCTGAGAATGCTTCCGTTTAGCTTTTAGGTGAAGATTATCCCGTTTCCAACGAAATCTTCAAAGAGGTCCAAATATCCCCTTGCGGATCCCACAGAAAGAGTGTTTCGAAACTGCTGTTTCAAAAGGAAAATCAACTCTGTGAGTTGAATGCAATCATCACAAAGAAGTTTCTGACAATGCTTCTCTCTCGTCTTTCTGTGAAGATAAAGGAAAAGGCTTTCAGGCCTTTGCCACCACAGGCCTGAAAGCGCTCCAAATGTCCACTTGCAGATTCTGCGAAAAGAATATTTCAAAACTGCTCTATGAAAAGCAATGTTAAACTCTGTGGCTCGAACACAAACATCACAAAGCAGTTTCTGAGAATGCTTCAGTTTAGTTTTTCTGTGGAAATATTCCCGTTTCCAAAGAAATCTTCAAAGAGGTCCACGTATCCACTTACAGATTCTACAAAAAGACAGTTTCAAAACTACTCCATCAAAAGGAGGGTTCAACTATGTGACTTGAATGCAATCATCACTCAGAAGTTTCTGAGAATGCTTCTCTTTAGTTTTTACGTGAACATATACCCGTTTCGAACGAAGGCCACCCAGTGGTCCAAATGTCCACTTGCAGATTCTACAGAAAGAGTGTTTCGAACCTGAACTCTCAAAGGCAGGTTCATCTCTGCGAGTTAAATGCATTCATCATGAAGAACTTTCTCAGAGTGTTTGTGTTTAGTTATGGGAAATTATTCCCGTTCCCAACGAAATCCTCAGAGAGGTCCAAATGTCCACCTGCAGATTCTACCAAAAGTGTATTTGGAAACTGCTCCATCAACAGGCATGTTCAGCTCTGTGAGTGAAACTCCATCATCACAAAGAATATTCTGAGAATGCTTCCGTTTGCCTTTTATATGAAGTTCCTTCCTATACGACCGTAGGCCTCAAAGCAGTGCAAATCTCCATTTGCAGATTCTACAAAAAGAGTGATTCCAATCTGCTCTATCAATAGGATTGTTCAACTCCATGAGTTGAATGCCATCCTCACAAAGTCGTTTCTGAGAATGCTTCTATCTAGTTTTTATGTGAAGATATTTCCTTTTCCACCACAGGCCTCAAAGCCCTCCAAACGTCCACTTGCAGATTCTCGAAAAAGAGTGTTTCATAGCTGCTCTTTCACAAGGAAAGTTCAACTCTGGGAGTTGAATACAAACTTCACAAAGTAGTTTCCGAGAATGCTTCTGTTTAGTTCTTATGTGAAGATGATCCCGTTTCCAGTGAAATCTTCAAAGAGGTCCACATATCCCCTTGCAGATTCCAAAGAAAGAGGGTTTCAAAACTGCTCCATCAAAAGGATTGTTCAACTCTGTGAGTTGAATGCAGTCATCGCAGAAAACTTTCTGAGAATGCTTCTGTCTAGGTTTGAGGTGAAGATATAGACGTTTCAAACGAAGGCTACAAAGTGGTCAAAATATACACTTGCAGATTCTACTACAAGGGTGTTGCAAACCTGAACAATCAAAGGAAGGTTCAACTCTGTGAGTTGAATACAAACATCACAAAGAATGTTCTGAGTTTGCTTCCGTTCAGTTATGGGAAGTTGATCCCGTTTCCAACGAAATCCTCAGAGAGGTCCAAATATCCCCTTGCAGATTCTACAAAACGTGTGTTTGGAAACTGCTCCATCATAACGAATGTTCAGCTCTCTAAGTTAAACTCCATCGTCACAAAGAATTTTCTGAGAGTGCTACCGTCTAGTTTTTATAGGAAGTTCTTTCCTTTACTACCACAGGCCTCAAAGCGGTCCAAATCTCCACTTGCAGATTCTACAAAAAGAGTGTTTGCAAACTGCTCTATCAAAAGGAATGTTCAACTCTGGGAGTTGAATGCAATCATCACAGAGCAGTTTCTGAGAATGCTTCTATGTCGTTTTTAGGAGAAGATATTTCCTTTTCCAACACAGTCCTCCAAGCCCGCTAAATATCCACTTGCACATTGTAGAAAAAGTGTGTCGAAGCTGCGCTATCAAAGGGAAAGTTCAACTCTGTGAGGTGAATGCAAACATCCCAAAGAAGTTTCTGAGAATGCTTCCGTTTAGCTTTTAGGTGAAGATTATCCCGTTTGCAACGAAATCTTCAAAGAGGTCCAAATATCCCCTTGCGGATCCCACAGAAAGAGTGTTTCGAAACTGCTGTTTCAAAAGGAATCTTCAACTCTGTGAGTTGAATGCAATCATCACAAAGAAGTTTCTGACAATGCTTCTCTCTCGTCTTTCTGTGAAGATAAAGGAAAAGGCTTTCAGGCCTTTTCCACCAGAGGCCTGAAAGCGCTCCAAATGTCCACTTGCAGATTCTGCCAAAAGAATATTTCAAAACTGCTCTATGAAAAGCAATGTTAAACTCTGTGGCTCGAACACAAACATCACAAAGCAGTTTCTGAGAATGCTTCAGTTTATTTTTTCTGTGGAAATATTCCCGTTTCCAAAGAAATCTTCAAAGAGGTCCACGCATCCACTTACAGATTCTACAAAAAGACAGTTTCAAAACTGCTCAATCAAAAGGAGGGTTCAACTGTGTGACTTGAATGCAATCATCACTCAGAAGTTTCTGAGAACGCTTCTCTTTAGTTTTTACGTGAACATATACCCGTTTCGAATGAAGGCCAGCCAGTGGTCCAAATATCCACTTGCAGATTCTACAGAAAGAGTGTTTCGAACCTGAACTCTCAAAGGCAGGTTCATCTCTGCGAGATAAATGCATTCATCATGAAGAACTTTCTCAGCGTGTTTGTGTTTAGTTATGGGAAATTATTCCCGTTCCCAACGAAATCCTCAGAGAGCTCTAAATATCCACCTGCAGATTCTACCAAAAGTGTATTTGGAAACTGCTCCATCAAAAGGCATGTTCAGCTCTGTGAGTGAAACTCCATCATCACAAAGAATATTCTGAGAATGCTTCCGTTTGCCTTTTATATGAAGTTCCTTCCTATACGACCGTAGGCCTCAAAGCAGTCCAAATCTCCATTTGCAGATTCTACAAAAAGAGTGATTCCAATCTGCTCTATCAATAGGATTGTTCAACTCCATGAGTTGAATGCCATCCTCACAAAGTCGTTTCTGAGAATGCTTCTATCTAGTTTTTATGTGAAGATATTTCCTTTTCCACCACAGGCCTCAAAGCCCTCCAAACGTCCACTTGCAGATTCTCGAAAAAGAGTGTTTCATAGCTGCTCTTTCAAAAGGAAAGTTCAACTCTGGGAGTTGAATACAAACATCACAAAGTAGTTTCCGAGAATGCTTCTGTTTAGTTTTTATGTGAAGATGATCCCGTTTCCAGTGAAATCTTCAAAGAGGTCCACATATCCCCTTGCAGATTCCAAAGAAAGAGGGTTTCAAAACTGCTCCATCAGAAGGATTGTTCAACTCTGTGAGTGGAATGCAGTCATCGCAGAAAACTTTCTGAGAATGCTTCTGTCTAGGTTTGATGTGAAGATATAGACGTTTCAAACGAAGGCTACAAAGTGGTCAAAATATACACTTGCAGATTCTACTACAAGGGTGTTGCAAACCTGAACTATCAAAGGAAGGTTCAACTCTGTGAGTTGAATACAAACATCACAAAGAATGTTCTGAGTTTGCTTCCGTTCAGTTATGGGAAGTTGATCCCGTTTCCAACGAAATCCTCAGAGAGGTCCAAATATCCCCTTGCAGATTCTACAAAACGTGTGTTTGGAAACTGCTCCATCATAACGAATGTTCAGCTCCCTGAGTTAAACTCCATCGTCACAAAGAATTTTCTGAGAGTGCTACCGTCTGGTTTTTATATGAAGTTCTTTCCTTCACTACCACAGGCCTCAACGCGGTCCAAATCTCCACTTGCAGATTCTACAAAAAGAGTGTTTGCAAACTGCTCTATCAAAAGGAATGTTCAACTCTGGGAGTTGAATGCAATCATCACAGAGCAGTTTCTGAGAATGCTTCTATGTCGTTTTTAGGAGAAGATATTTCCTTTTCCAACACAGTCCTCCAAGCCCGCTAAATAGCCACTTGCACATTGTAGAAAAAGTGTGTCAAAGCTGCGCTATCAAAGGGAAAGTTCAACTCTGTGAGGTGAATGCAAACATCCCAAAGAAGTTTCTGAGAATGCTTCCGTTTAGCTTTTAGGTGAAGATAATCCCGTTTCCAACGAAACCTTCTAAGAGGTCCAAATATCCCCTTGCGGATCCCACAGAAAGAGTGTTTCGAAACTGCTGTTTCAAAAGGAATCTTCAACTCTGTGAGTTGAATGCAATCATCACAAAGAAGTTTCTGACAATGCTTCTCTCTCGTCTTTCTGTGAAGATAAAGGAAAAGGCTTTCAGGCCTTTTCCACCACAGGCCTGAAAGCGCTCCAAATGTCCACTTGCAGATTCTGCGAAAAGAATATTTCAAAACTGCTCTATGAAAAGCAATGTTAAACTCTGTGGCTCGAACACAAACATCACAAAGCGGTTTCTGAGAATGCTTCAGTTTAGTTTTTCTGTGGAAATATTCCCGTTTCCAAAGAAATCTTCAAAGAGGTCCACGTATCCACTTACAGATTCTACAAAAAGACAGTTTCAAAACTGCTCCATCAAAAGGAGGGTTCAACTGTGTGACTTGAATGCAATCATCACTCAGAAGTTTCTGAGAATGCTTCTCTTTAGTTTTTACGTGAACATATACCCGTTTCGAACGAAGGCCACCCAGTGGTCCAAATATCCACTTGCAGATTCTACAGAAAGAGTGTTTCGAACCTGAACTCTCAAAGGCAGGTTCATCTCTGCGAGTTAAATGCATTCATCATGAAGAACTTTCTCAGAGTGTTTGTGTTTAGTTATGGGAAATTATTCCCCGTTTCCAACGAAATCCTCAGAGAGCTCCAAATATCCACCTGCAGATTCTACCAAAAGTGTATTTGGAAACTGCTCCATCAAAAGGCATGTTCAGCTCTGTGAGTGAAACTCCATCATCACAAAGAATATTCTGAGAATGCTTCCGTTTGCCTTTTATATGAAGTTCCTTCCTATACGACCGTAGGCCTCAAAGCAGTCCAAATCTCCATTTGCAGATTCTACAAAAAGAGTGATTCCAATCTGCTCTATCAATAGGATTGTTCAACTCCATGAGTTGAATGCCATCCTCACAAAGTCGTTTCTGAGAATGCTTCTATCTAGTTTTTATGTGAAGATATTTCCTTTTCCACCACAGGCCTCAAAGCCCTCCAAACGGCCACTTGCAGATTCTCGAAAAAGAGTGTTTCATAGCTGCTCTTTCAAAAGGAAAGTTCAACTCTGGGAGTTGAATACAAACATCACAAAGTAGTTTCCGAGAATGCTTCTGTTTAGTTTTTATGTGAAGATGATCCCGTTTCCAGTGAAATCTTCAAAGAGGTCCACATATCCCCTTGCAGATTCCAAAGAAAGAGGGTTTCAAAACTGCTCCATCAGAAGGATTGTTCAACTCTGTGAGTTGAATGCAGTCATCGCAGAAAACTTTCTGAGAATGCTTCTGTCTAGGTTTGATGTGAAGATATAGACGTTTCAAACGAAGGCTACAAAGTGGTCAAAATATACACTTGCAGATTCTACTACAAGGGTGTTGCAAACCTGAACTATCAAAGGAAGGTTCAACTCTGTGAGTTGAATACAAACATCACAAAGAATGTTCTGAGTTTGCTTCCGTTCAGTTATGGGAAGTTGATCCCGTTTCCAACGAAATCCTCAGAGAGGTCCAAATATCCCCTTGCAGATTCTACAAAACGTGTGTTTGGAAACTGCTCCATCATAACGAATGTTCAGCTCCCTGAGTTAAACTCCATCGTCACAAAGAATTTTCTGAGAGTGCTACCGTCTGGTTTTTATATGAAGCTCTTTCCTTCACTACCACAGGCCTCAAAGCGGTCCAAATCTCCACTTGCAGATTCTACAAAAAGAGTGTTTGCAAACTGCTCTATCAAAAGGAATGTTCAACTCTGGGAGTTGAATGCAATCATCACAGAGCAGTTTCTGAGAATGCTTCTATGTCGTTTATAGGAGAAGATATTTCCTTTTCCAACACAGTCCTCCAAGCCCGCTAAATATCCACTTGCACATTGTAGAAAAAGTGTGTCAAAGCTGCGCTATCAAAGGGAAAGTTCAACTCTGAGAGGTGAATGCAAACATCCCAAAGAAGTTTCTGAGAGTGCTTCCGTTTAGCTTTTAGGTGAAGATTATCCCGTTTCCAACGAAACCTTCAAAGAGGTCCAAATATCCCCTTGCGGATCCCACAGAGTGTTTCGAAACTGCTGTTTCAAAAGGAATCTTCAACTCTGTGAGTTGAATGCAATCATCACAAAGAAGTTTCTGACAATGCTTCTCTCTCGTCTTTCTGTGAAGATAAAGGAAAAGGCTTTCAGGCCTTTGCCACCACAGGCCTGAAAGCGCTCCAAATGTCCACTTGCAGATTCTGCGAAAAGAATATTTCAAAACTGCTCTATGAAAAGCAATGTTAAACTCTGTGGCTCGAACACAAACATCACAAAGCGGTTTCTGAGAATGCTTCAGTTTAGTTTTTCTTTGGAAATATTCCCGTTTCCAAAGAAATCTTCAAAGAGGTCCACGTATCCACTTACAGATTCTACAAAAAGACAGTTTCAAAACTGCTCCATCAAAAGGAGGGTTCAACTGTGTGACTTGAATGCAATCATCACTCAGAAGTTTCTGAGAATGCTTCTCTTTAGTTTTTACGTGAACATATACCCGTTTCGAACGAAGGCCAGCCAGTGGTCCAAATATCCACTTGCAGATTCTACAGAAAGAGTGTTTCGAACCTGAACTCTCAAAGGCAGGTTCATCTCTGCGAGTTAAATGCATTCATCATGAAGAACTTTCTCAGAGTGTTTGTGTTTAGTTATGGGAAATTATTCCCGTTTCCAACGAAATCCTCAGAGAGCTCCAAATATCCACCTGCAGATTCTACCAAAAGTGTATTTGGAAACTGCTCCATCAAAAGGCATGTTCAGCTCTGTGAGTGAAACTCCATCATCACAAAGAATATTCTGAGAATGCTTCCGTTTGCTTTTTATATGAAGTTCCTTCCTATACTACCGTAGGCCTCAAAGCAGTCCAAATCTCCATTTACAGATTCTACAAAAAGAGTGTTTCCAATCTGCTCTATCAATAGGATTGTTCAACTCCGTGAGTTGAATGCCATCCTCACAAAGTAGTTTCTGAGAATGCTTCTATCTAGTTTTTATGTGAAGATATTTCCTTTTCCACCACAGGCCTCAAAGCCCTCCAAACGTCCACTTGCAGATTCTCGAAAAAGAGTGTTTCATAGCTGCTCTTTCAAAAGGAAAGTTCAACTCTGGCAGTTGAATACAAACATCACAAAGTAGTTTCCGAGAATGCTTCTGTTTAGTTTCTATGTGAAGATGATCCCGTTTCCAGTGAAATCTTCAAAGAGGTCCACATATCCCCTTGCAGATTCCAAAGAAAGTGGGTTTCAAAACTGCTCCATCAGAAGGATTGTTCAACTGTGTGAGTTGAATGCAGTCATCGCAGAAAACTTTCTGAGAATGCTTCTGTCTAGGTTTGATGTGAAGATATAGACGTTTCAAACGAAGGCTACAAAGTGGTCAAAATATACACTTGCAGATTCTACTACAAGGGTGTTGCAAACCTGAACTATCAAAGGAAGGTTCAACTCTGTGAGTTGAATACAAACATCACAAAGAATGTTCTGAGTTTGCTTCCGTTCAGTTATGGGAAGTTGATCCCGTTTCCAACGAAATCCTCAGAGAGGTCCAAATATCCCCTTGCAGATTCTACAAAACGTGTGTTTGGAAACTGCTCCATCATAACGAATGTTCAGCTCCCTGAGTTAAACTCCATCGTCACAAAGAATTTTCTGAGAGTGCTACCGTCTGGTTTTTATATGAAGTTCTTTCCTTCACTACCACAGACCTCAAAGCGGTCCAAATCTCCACTTGCAGATTCTACAAAAAGAGTGTTTGCAAACTGCTCTATCAAAAGGAATGTTCAACTCTGGGGAGTTGAATGCAATCATCACAGAGCAGTTTCTGAGAATGCTTCCTATGTCGTTTTTAGGAGAAGATATTTCCTTTTCCAACACAGTCCTCCAAGCCCGCTAAATAGCCACTTGCACATTGTAGAAAAAGTGTGTCAAAGCTGCGCTATCAAAGGGAAAGTTCAACTCTGTGAGGTGAATGCAAACATCCCAAAGAAGTTTCTGAGAATGCTTCCGTTTAGCTTTTAGGGGAAGATTATCCCGTTTCCAACGAAACCTTCAAAGAGGTCCAAATATCCCCTTGCGGATCCCACAGAAAGAGTGTTTCGAAACTGCTGTTTCAAAAGGAATCTTCAACTCTGTGAGTTGAATGCAATCATCACAAAGAAGTTTCTGACAATGCTTCTCTCTCGTCTTTCTGTGAAGATAAAGGAAAAGGCTTTCAGGCCTTTTCCACCACAGGCCTGAAAGCGCTCCAAATGTCCCCTTGCAGATTCTGCGAAAAGAATATTTCAAAACTGCTCTATGAAAAGCAATGTTAAACTCTGTGGCTCGAACACAAACATCACAAAGCGGTTTCTGAGAATGCTTCAGTTTAGTTTTTCTGTGGAAATATTCCCGTTTCCAAAGAAATCTTCAAAGAGGTCCACGTATCCACTTACAGATTCTACAAAAAGACAGTTTCAAAACTGCTCCATCAAAAGGAGGGTTCAACCGTGTGACTTGAATGCAATCATCACTCAGAAGTTTCTGAGAATGCTTCTCTTTAGTTTTTACGTGAACATATACCCGTTTCGAACGAAGGCCACCCAGTGGTCCAAATATCCACTTGCAGATTATACAGAAAGAGTGTTTCGAACCTGAACTCTCAAAGGCAGGTTCATCTCTGCGAGTTAAATGCATTCATCATGAAGAACTTTCTCAGAGTGTTTGTGTTTAGTTATGGGAAATTATTCCCGTTTCCAACGAAATCCTCAGAGAGCTCCAAATATCCACCTGCAGATTCTACCAAAAGTGTATTTGGAAACTGCTCCATCAAAAGGCATGTTCAGCTCTGTGAGTGAAACTCCATCATCACAAAGAATATTCTGAGAATGCTTCCGTTTGCCTTTTATATGAAGTTCCTTCCTGTACTACCGTAGGCCTCAAAGCAGTCCAAATCTCCATTTGCAGATTCTACAAAAAGAGTGATTCCAATCTGCTCTATCAATAGGATTGTTCAACTCCATGAGTTGAATGCCATCCTCACAAAGTAGTTTCTGAGAATGCTTCTATCTAGTTTTTATGTGAAGATATTTCCTTTTCCACCACAGGCCTCAAAGCCCTCCAAACGTCCACTTGCAGATTCTCGAAAAAGAGTGTTTCATAGCTGCTCTTTCAAAAGGAAAGTTCAACTCTGGGAGTTGAATACAAACATCACAAAGTAGTTTCCGAGAATGCTTCTGTTTAGTTTTTATGTGAAGATGATCCCGTTTCCAGTGAAATCTTCAAAGAGGTCCACATATCCCCTTGCAGATTCCAAAGAAAGAGGGTTTCAAAACTGCTCCATCAGAAGGATTGTTCAACTCTGTGAGTTGAATGCAGTCATCGCAGAAAACTTTCTGAGAATGCTTCTGTCTAGGTTTGATGTGAAGATATAGACGTTTCAAACGAAGGCTACAAAGTGGTCAAAATATACACTTGCAGATTCTACTACAAGGGTGTTGCAAACCTGAACTATCAAAGGAAGGTTCAACTCTGTGAGTTGAATACAAACATCACAAAGAATGTTCTGAGTTTGCTTCCGTTCAGTTATGGGAAGTTGATCCCGTTTCCAAAGAAATCCTCAGAGAGGTCCAAATATCCCCTCGCAGATTCTACAAAACGTGTGTTTGGAAACTGCTCCATCATAACGAATGTTCAGCTCCCTGAGTTAAACTCCATCGTCACAAAGAATTTTCTGAGAGTGCTACCGTCTGGTTTTTATATGAAGTTCTTTCCTTCACTACCACAGGCCTCAAAGCGGTCCAAATCTCCACTTGCAGATTCTACAAAAAGAGTGTTTGCAAACTGCTCTATCAAAAGGAATGTTCAACTCTGGGAGTTGAATGCAATCATCACAGAGCAGTTTCTGAGAATGCTTCTATGTCGTTTTTAGGAGAAGATACTTCCTTTTCCAACACAGTCCTCCAAGCCCGCTAAATAGCCACTTGCACATTGTAGAAAAAGTGTGTCAAAGCTGCGCTATCAAAGGGAAAGTTCAACTCTGTGAGGTGAATGCAAACATCCCAAAGAAGTTTCTGAGAATGCTTCCGTTTAGCTTTTAGGTGAAGATTATCCCGTTTCCAACGAAACCTTCAAAGAGGTCCAAATATCCCCTTGCGGATCCCACAGAAAGAGTGTTTCGAAACTGCTGTTTCAAAAGGAATCTTCAACTCTGTGAGTTGAATGCAATCATCACAAAGAAGTTTCTGACAATGCTTCTCTCTCGTCTTTCTGTGAAGATAAAGGAAAAGGCTTTCAGGCCTTTTCCACCACAGGCCTGAAAGCGCTCCAAATGTCCACTTGCAGATTCTGCGAAAAGAATATTTCAAAACTGCTCTATGAAAAGCAATGTTAAACTCTGTGGCTGGAACACAAACATCACAAAGCGGTTTCTGAGAATGTTTCAGTTTAGTTTTTCTGTGGAAATATTCCCGTTTCCAAAGAAATCTTCAAAGAGGTCCACGTATCCACTTACAGATTCTACAAAAAGACAGTTTCAAAACTGCTCCATCAAAAGGAGGGTTCAACTGTGTGACTTGAATGCAATCATCACTCAGAAGTTTCTGAGAATGCTTCTCTTTAGTTTTTACGTGAACATATACCCGTTTCGAACGAAGGCCACCCAGTGGTCCAAATATCCACTTGCAGATTCTACAGAAAGAGTGTTTCGAACCTGAACTCTCAAAGGCAGGTTCATCTCTGCGAGTTAAATGCATTCATCATGAAGAACTTTCTCAGAGTGTTTGTGTTTAGTTATGGGAAATTATTCCCGTTTCCAACGAAATCCTCAGAGAGCTCCAAATATCCACCTGCAGATTCTACCAAAAGTGTATTTGGAAACTGCTCCATCACAAGGCATGTTCAGCTCTGTGAGTGAAACTCCATCATCACAAAGAATATTCTGAGAATGCTTCCGTTTGCCTTTTATATGAAGTTCCTTCCTGTACTACCGTAGGCCTCAAAGCAGTCCAAATCTCCATTTGCAGATTCTACAAAAAGAGTGATTCCAATCTGCTCTATCAATAGGATTGTTCAACTCCATGAGTTGAATGCCATCCTCACAAAGCAGTTTCTGAGAATGCTTCTATCTGGTTTTTGTGTGAAGATATTTCCTTTTCCACCACAGGCCTCAAAGCCCTCCAAACGTCCACTTGCAGATTCTCGAAAAAGAGTGTTTCATAGCTGCTCTTTCAAAAGGAAAGTTCAACTCTGGGAGTTGAATACAAACATCACAAAATAGTTTCCGAGAATGCTTCTGTTTAGTTTTTATGTGAAGATGATCCCGTTTCCAGTGAAATCTTCAAAGAGGTCCACATATCCCCTTGCAGATTCCAAAGAAAGAGGGTTTCAAAACTGCTCCATCAAAAGGATTGTTCAACTCTGTGAGTTGAATGCAGTCATCGCAGAAAACTTTCTGAGAATGCTTCTGTCTAGGTTTGATGTGAAGATATAGACGTTTCAAACGAAGGCTACAAAGTGGTCAAAATATACACTTGCAGATTCTACTACAAGGGTTTTGCAAACCTGAACTATCAAAGGAAGGTTCAACTCTGTGAGTTGAATACAAACATAACAAAGAATGTTCTGAGTTTGCTTCCGTTCAGTTATGGGAAGTTGATCCCGTTTCCAACGAAATCCTCAGAGAGGTCCAAATATCCCCTTGCAGATTCTACAAAACGTGTGTTTGGAAACTGCTCCATCATAACGAATGTTCAGCTCCCTGAGTTAAACTCCATCGTCACAAAGAATTTTCTGAGAGTGCTACCGTCTGGTTTTTATATGAAGTTCTTTCCTTCACTACCACAGGCCTCAAAGCGGTCCAAATCTCCACTTGCAGATTCTACAAAAAGAGTGTTTGCAAACTGCTCTATCAAAAGGAATGTTCAACTCTGGGAGTTGAATGCAATCATCACAGAGCAGTTTCTGAGAATGCTTCTATGTCGTTTTTAGGAGAAGATATTTCCTTTTCCAACACAGTCCTCCAAGCCCGCTAAATAGCCACTTGCACATTGTAGAAAAAGTGTGTCGAAGCTGCGCTATCAAAGGGAAAGTTCAACTCTGTGAGGTGAATGCAAACATCCCAAAGAAGTTTCTGAGAATGCTTCCGTTTAGCTTTTAGGTGAAGATTATCCCGTTTCCAACGAAATCTTCAAAGAGGTCCAAATATCCCCCTGCGGATCCCACAGAAAGAGTGTTTCGAAACTGCTGTTTCAAAAGGAATCTTCAACTCTGTGAGTTGAATGCAATCATCACAAAGAAGTTTCTGACAATGCTTCTCTCTCGTCTTTCTGTGAAGATAAAGGAAAAGGCTTTCAGGCCTTTTCCACCACAGGCCTGAAAGCGCTCCAAATGTCCACTTGCAGATTCTGCCAAAAGAATATTTCAAAACTGCTCTACGAAAAGCAATGTTAAACTCTGTGGCTCGAACACAAACATCACAAAGCCGTTTCTGAGAATGCTTCAGTTTAGTTTTTCTGTGGAAATATTCCCGTTTCCAAAGAAATCTTCAAAGAGGTCCACGCATCCACTTACAGATTCTACAAAAAGACAGTTTCAAAACTGCTCAATCAAAAGGAGGGTTCAACTGTGTGACTTGAATGCAATCATCACTCAGAAGTTTCTGAGAACGCTTCTCTTTAGTTTTTACGTGAACATATACCCGTTTCGAAAGAAGGCCAGCCAGTGGTCCAAATATCCACTTGCAGATTCTACAGAAAGAGTGTTTCGAACCTGAACTCTCAAAGGCAGGTTCATCTCTGCGAGTTCAATGCATTCATCATGAAGAACTTTCTCAGCGTGTTTGTGTTTAGTTATGGGAAATTATTCCCGTTTCCAACGAAATCCTCAGAGAGCTCCAAATATCCACCTGCAGATTCTACCAAAAGTGTATTTGGAAACTGCTCCATCAAAAGGCATGTTCAGCTCTGTGAGTGAAACTCCATCATCAAAAAGAATATTCTGAGAATGCTTCCGTTTGCCTTTTATATGAAGTTCCTTCCTATACTACCGTAGGCCTCAAAGCAGTCCAAATCTCCATTTGCAGATTCTACAAAAAGAGTGATTCCAATCTGCTCTATCAATAGGATTGTTCAACTCCATGAGTTGAATGCCATCCTCACAAAGTAGTTTCTGAGAATGCTTCTATCTAGTTTTTATGTGAAGATATTTCCTTTTCCACCACAGGCCTCAAAGCCCTCCAAACGTCCACTTGCAGATTCTCGAAAAAGAGTGTTTCATAGCTGCTCTTTCAAAAGGAAAGTTCAACTCTGGGAGTTGAATACAAACATCACAAAGTAGTTTCCGAGAATGCTTCTGTTTAGTTTTTATGTGAAGATGATCCCGTTTCCAGTGAAATCTTCAAAGAGGTCCACATATCCCCTTGCAGATTCCAAAGAAAGAGGGTTTCAAAACTGCTCCATCAGAAGGATTGTTCAACTCTGTGAGTTGAATGCAGTCATCGCAGAAAACTTTCTGAGAATGCTTCTGTCTAGGTTTGATGTGAAGGTATAGACGTTTCAAACGAAGGCTACAAAGTGGTCAAAATATACACTTGCAGATTCTACTACAAGGGTGTTGCAAACCTGAACTATCAAAGGAAGGTTCAACTCTGTGAGTTGAATACAAACATCACAAAGAATGTTCTGAGTTTGCTTCCGTTCAGTTATGGGAAGTTGATCCCGTTTCCAACGAAATCCTCAGAGAGGTCCAAATATCCCCTTGCAGATTCTACAAAACGTGTGTTTGGAAACTGCTCCATCATAACGAATGTTCAGCTCCCTGAGTTAAACTCCATCGTCACAAAGAATTTTCTGAGAGTGCTACCGTCTGGTTTTTATATGAAGTTCTTTCCTTCACTACCACTGGCCTCAAAGCGGTGCAAATCTCCACTTGCAGATTCTACAAAAAGAGTGTTTGCAAACTGCTCTATCAAAAGGAATGTTCAACTCTGGGAGTTGAATGCAATCATCACAGAGCAGTTTCTGAGAATGCTTCTATGTCGTTTTTAGGAGAAGATATTTCCTTTTCCAACACAGTCCTCCAAGCCCGCTAAATAGCCACTTGCACATTGTAGAAAAAGTGTGTCAAAGCTGCGCTATCAAAGGGAAAGTTCAACTCTGTGAGGTGAATGCAAACATCCCAAAGAAGTTTCTGAGAATGCTTCTGTTTAGCTTTTAGGTGAAGATTATCCCGTTTCCAACGAAACCTTCAAAGAGGTCCAAATATCCCCTTGCGGATCCCACAGAAAGAGTGTTTCGAAACTGCTGTTTCAAAAGGAATCTTCAACTCTGTGAGTTGAATGCAATCATCACAAAGAAGTTTCTGACAATGCTTCTCTCTCGTCTTTCTGTGAAGATAAAGGAAAAGGCTTTCAGGCCTTTTCCACCACAGGCCTGAAAGCGCTCCAAATGTCCACTTGCAGATTCTGCGAAAAGAATATTTCAAAACTGCTCTATGAAAAGCAATGTTAAACTCTGTGGCTCGAACACAAACATCACAAAGCGGTTTCTGAGAATGCTTCAGTTTAGTTTTTCTGTGGAAATATTCCCGTTTCCAAAGAAATCTTCAAAGAGGTCCACGTATCCACTTACAGATTCTACAAAAAGACAGTTTCAAAACTGCTCCATCAAAAGGAGGGTTCAACTGTGTGACTTGAATGCAATCATCACTCAGAAGTTTCTGAGAATGCTTCTCTTTAGTTTTTACGTGAACATATACCCGTTTCGAAAGAAGGCCACCCAGTGGTCCAAATATCCACTTGCAGATTCTACAGAAAGAGTGTTTCGAACCTGAACTCTCAAAGGCAGGTTCATCTCTGCGAGTTAAATGCATTCATCATGAAGAACTTTCTCAGAGTGTTTGTGTTTAGTTATGGGAAATTATTCCCGTTTCCAACGAAATCCTCAGAGAGCTCTAAATTTCCACCTGCAGATTCTACCAAAAGTGTATTTGGAAACTGCTCCATCAAAAGGCATGTTCAGCTCTGTGAGTGAAACTCCATCATCACAAAGAATATTCTGAGAATGCTTCCGTTTGCTTTTATATGAAGTTCCTTCCTATACGACCGTAGGCCTCAAAGCAGTCCAAATCTCCATTTGCAGATTCTACAAAAAGAGTGATTCCAATCTGCTCTATCAATAGGATTGTTCAACTCCATGTGTTGAATGCCATCCTCACAAAGTCGTTTCTGAGAATGCTTCTATCTAGTTTTTATGTGAAGATATTTTCTTTTCCACCACAGGACTCAAAGCCTTCCAAACGTCCACTTGCAGATTCTCGAAAAAGAGTGTTTCATAGCTGCTCTTTCAAAAGGAAAGTTCAACTCTGGGAGTTGAATACAAACATCACAAAGTAGTTTCCGAGAATGCTTCTGTTTAGTTTTTATGTGAAGATGATCCCGTTTCCAGTGAAATCTTCAAAGAGGTCCACATATCCCCTTGCAGATTCCAAAGAAAGAGGGTTTCAAAACTGCTCCATCAGAAGGATTGTTCAACTCTGTGAGTTGAATGCAGTCATCGCAGAAAACTTTCTGAGAATGCTTCTGTCTAGGTTTGATGTGAAGATATAGACGTTTCAAACGAAGGCTACAAAGTGGTCAAAATATACACTTGCAGATTCTACTACAAGGGTGTTGCAAACCTGAACTATCAAAGGAAGGTTCAACTCTGTGAATTGAATACAAACATCACAAAGAATGTTCTGAGTTTGCTTCCGTTCAGTTATGGGAAGTTGATCCCGTTTCCAACGAAATCCTCAGAGAGGTCCAAATATCCCCTTGCAGATTCTACAAAACGTGTGTTTGGAAACTGCTCCATCATAACGAATGTTCAGCTCCCTGAGTTAAACTCCATCGTCACAAAGAATTTTCTGAGAGTGCTACCGTCTGGTTTTTATATGAAGTTCTTTCCTTCACTACCACAGGCCTCAAAGCGGTCCAAATCTCCACTTGCAGATTCTACAAAAAGAGTGTTTGCAAACTGCTCTATCAAAAGGAATGTTCAACTCTGGGAGTTGAATGCAATCATCACAGAGCAGTTTCTGAGAATGCTTCTATGTCGTTTTTAGGAGAAGATATTTCCTTTTCCAACACAGTCCTCCAAGCCCGCTAAATAGCCACTTGCACATTGTAGAAAAAGTGTGTCAAAGCTGCGCTATCAAAGGGAAAGTTCAACTCTGTGAGGTGAATGCAAACATCCCAAAGAAGTTTCTGAGAATGCTTCCGTTTAGCTTTTAGGTGAAGATTATCCCGTTTCCAACGAAACCTTCAAAGAGGTCCAAATATCCCCTTGCGGATCCCACAGAGTGTTTCGAAACTGCTGTTTCAAAAGGAATCTTCAACTCTGTGAGTTGAATGCAATCATCACAAAGAAGTTTCTGACAATGCTTCTCTCTCGCCTTTCTGTGAAGGTAAAGGAAAAGGCTTTCAGGCCTTTTCCACCACAGGCCTGAAAGCGCTCCAAATGTCCACTTGCAGATTCTGCCAAAAGAATATTTCAAAACTGCTCTATGAAAAGCAATGTTAAACTCTGTGGCTCGAACACAAACATCACAAAGCGGTTTCTGAGAATGCTTCAGTTTAGTTTTTCTGTGGAAATATTCCCGTTTCCAAAGAAATCTTCAAAGAGGTCCACGTATCCACTTACAGATTCTACAAAAAGACAGTTTCAAAACTGCTCCATCAAAAGGAGGGTTCAACTGTGTGAGTTGAATGCAATCATCACTCAGAAGTTTCTGAGAATGCTTCTCTTTAGTTTTTACGTGAACATATACCCGTTTCGAACGAAGGCCAGCCAGTGGTCCAAATATCCACTTGCAGATTCTACAGAAAGAGTGTTTCGAACCTGAAGTCTCAAAGGCAGGTTCATCTCTGCGAGTTAAATGCATTCATCATGAAGAACTTTCTCAGAGTGTTTGTGTTTAGTTATGGGAAATTATTCCCGTTTCCAACGAAATCCTCAGAGAGGTCCAAATATCCACCTGCAGATTCTACCAAAAGTGTATTTGGAAACTGCTCCATCAAAAGGCATGTTCAGCTCTGTGAGTGAAACTCCATCATCACAAAGAATATTCTGAGAATGCTTCCGTTTGCCTTTTATATGAAGTTCCTTCCTATACGACCGTAGGCCTCAAAGCAGTCCAAATCTCCATTTGCAGATTCTACAAAAAGAGTGATTCCAATCTGCTCTATCAATAGGATTGTTCAACTCCATGAGTTGAATGCCATCCTCACAAAGTAGTTTCTGAGAATGCTTCTATCTAGTTTTTATGTGAAGATATTTCCTTTTCCACCACAGGCCTCAAAGCCCTCCAAACGTCCACTTGCAGATTCTCGAAAAAGAGTGTTTCATAGCTGCTCTTTCAAAAGGAAAGTTCAACTCTGGGAGTTGAATACAAACATCACAAAGTAGTTTCCGAGAATGCTTCTGTTTAGTTTTTATGTGAAGATGATCCCGTTTCCAGTGAAATCTTCAAAGAGGTCCACATATCCCCTTGCAGATTCCAAAGAAAGAGGGTTTCAAAACTGCTCCATCAGAAGGATTGTTCAACTCTGTGAGTTGAATGCAGTCATCGCAGAAAACTTTCTGAGAATGCTTCTGTCTAGGTTTGATGTGAAGATATAGACGTTTCAAACGAAGGCTACAAAGTGGTCAAAATATACACTTGCAGATTCTACTACAAGGGTGTTGCAAACCTGAACTATCAAAGGAAGGTTCAACTCTGTGAGTTGAATACAAACATCACAAAGAATGTTCTGAGTTTGCTTCCGTTCAGTTATGGGAAGTTGATCCCGTTTCCAACGAAATCCTCAGAGAGGTCCAAATATCCCCTTGCAGATTCTACAAAACGTGTGTTTGGAAACTGCTCCATCATAACGAATGTTCAGCTGCTCTGAGTTAAACTCCATCGTCACAAAGAATTTTCTGAGAGTGCTACCGTCTGGTTTTTATATGAAGTTCTTTCCTTCACTACCACAGGCCTCAAAGCGGTCCAAATCTCCACTTGCAGATTCTACAAAAAGAGTGTTTGCAAACTGCTCTATCAAAAGGAATGTTCAACTCTGGGAGTTGAATGCAATCATCACAGAGCAGTTTCTGAGAATGCTTCTATGTCGTTTTTAGGAGAAGATATTTCCTTTTCCAACACAGTCCTCCAAGCCCGCTAAATAGCCACTTGCACATTGTAGAAAAAGTGTGTCAAAGCTGCGCTATCAAAGGGAAAGTTCAACTCTGTGAGGTGAATGCAAACATCCCAAAGAAGTTTCTGAGAATGCTTCCGTTTAGCTTTTAGGTGAAGATTATCCCGTTTCCAACGAAACCTTCAAAGAGGTCCAAATATCCCCTTGCGGATCCCACAGAAAGAGTGTTTCGAAACTGCTGTTTCAAAAGGAATCTTCAACTCTGTGAGTTGAATGCAATCATCACAAAGAAGTTTCTGACAATGCTTCTCTCTCGTCTTTCTGTGAAGATAAAGGAAAAGGCTTTCAGGCCTTTGCCACCACAGGCCTGAAAACGCTCCAAATGTCCACTTGCAAATTCTGCGAAAAGAATATTTCAAAACTGCTCTATGAAAAGCAATGTTAAACTCTGTGGCTCGAACACAAACATCACAAAGCAGTTTCTGAGAATGCTTCAGTTTAGTTTTTCTGTGGAAATATTCCCGTTTCCAAAGAAATCTTCAAAGAGGTCCACGCATCCACTTACAGATTCTACAAAAAGACAGTTTCAAAACTGCTCCATCAAAAGGAGGGTTCAACTGTGTGACTTGAATGCAATCATCACTCAGAAGTTTCTGAGAATGCTTCTCTTTAGTTTTTACGTGAACATATACCCGTTTCGAACGAAGGCCACCCAGTGGTCCAAATATCCACTTGCAGATTATACAGAAAGAGTGTTTCGAACCTGAACTCTCAAAGGCAGGTTCATCTCTGCGAGTTAAATGCATTCATCATGAAGAACTTTCTCAGAGTGTTTGTGTTTAGTTATGGGAAATTATTCCCGTTTCCAACGAAATCCTCAGAGAGCTCCAAATATCCACCTGCAGATTCTACCAAAAGTGTATTTGGAAACTGCTCCATCAAAAGGCATGTTCAGCTCTGTCAGTGAAACTCCATCATCACAAAGAATATTCTGAGAATGCTTCCGTTTGCCTTTTATATGAAGTTCCTTCCTGTACTACCGTAGGCCTCAAAGCAGTCCAAATCTCCATTTGCAGATTCTATAAAAAGAGTGATTCCAATCTGCTCTATCAATAGGATTGTTCAACTCCATGAGTTGAATGCCATCCTCACAAAGTAGTTTCTGAGAATGCTTCTATCTGGTTTTTGTGTGAAGATATTTCCTTTTCCACCACAGGCCTCAAAGCCCTCCAAACGTCCACTTGCAGATTCTCGAAAAAGAGTGTTTCATAGCTGCTCTTTCAAAAGGAAAGTTCAACTCTGGGAGTTGAATACAAACATCACAAAATAGTTTCCGAGAATGCTTCTGTTTAGTTTTTATGTGAAGATGATCCCGTTTCCAGTGAAATCTTCAAAGAGGTCCACATATCCCCTTGCAGATTCCAAAGAAAGAGGGTTTCAAAACTGCTCCATCAGAAGGATTGTTCAACTCTGTGAGTTGAATGCAGTCATCGCAGAAAACTTTCTGAGAATGCTTCTGTCTAGGTTTGATGTGAAGATATAGACGTTTCAAACGAAGGCTACAAAGTGGTCAAAATATACACTTGCAGATTCTACTACAAGGGTGTTGCAAACCTGAACTATCAAAGGAAGGTTCAACTCTGTGAATTGAATACAAACATCACAAAGAATGTTCTGAGTTTGCTTCCGTTCAGTTATGGGAAGTTGATCCCGTTTCCAACGAAATCCTCAGAGAGGTCCAAATATCCCCTCGCAGATTCTACAAAACGTGTGTTTGGAAACTGCTCCATCAAAACGAATGTTCAGCTCCCTGAGTTAAACTCCATCGTCACAAAGAATTTTCTGAGAGTGCTACCGTCTGGTTTTTATATGAAGTTCTTTCCTTCACTACCACAGGCCTCAAAGCGGTCCAAATCTCCACTTGCAGATTCTACAAAAAGAGTGTTTGCAAACTGCTCTATCAAAAGGAATGTTCAACTCTGGGAGTTGAATGCAATCATCACAGAGCAGTTTCTGAGAATGCTTCTATGTCGTTTTTAGGAGAAGATATTTCCTTTTCCAACACAGTCCTCCAAGCCCACTAAATAGCCACTTGCACATTGTAGAAAAAGTGTGTCAAAGCTGCGCTATCAAAGGGAAAGTTCAACTCTGTGAGGTGAATGCAAACATCCCAAAGAAGTTTCTGAGAATGCTTCCGTTTAGCTTTTAGGTGAAGATTATCCCGTTTCCAACGAAACCTTCAAAGAGGTCCAAATATCCCCTTGCGGATCCCACAGAAAGAGTGTTTCAAAACTGCTGTTTCAAAAGGAATCTTCAACTCTGTGAGTTGAATGCAATCATCACAAAGAAGTTTCTGACAATGCTTCTCTCTCGTCTTTCTGTGAAGATAAAGGAAAAGGCTTTCAGGCCTTTTCCACCACAGGCCTGAAAGCGCTCCAAATGTCCACTTGCAGATTCTGCGAAAAGAATATTTCAAAACTGCTCTATGAAAAGCAATGTTAAACTCTGTGGCTGGAACACAAACATCACAAAGCGGTTTCTGAGAATGTTTCAGTTTAGTTTTTCTGTGGAAATATTCCCGTTTCCAAAGAAATCTTCAAAGAGGTCCACGTATCCACTTACAGATTCTACAAAAAGACAGTTTCAAAACTGCTCCATCAAAAGGAGGGTTCAACTGTGTGACTTGAATGCAATCATCACTCAGAAGTTTCTGAGAATGCTTCTCTTTAGTTTTTACGTGAACATATACCCGTTTCGAACGAAGGCCAGCCAGTGGTCCAAATATCCACTTGCAGATTCTACAGAAAGAGTGTTTCGAACCTGAACTCTCAAAGGCAGGTTCATCTCTGCGAGTTAAATGCATTCATCATGAAGAACTTTCTCAGAGTGTTTGTGTTTAGTTATGGGAAATTATTCCCGTTTCCAACGAAATCCTCAGAGAGCTCCAAATATCCACCTGCAGATTCTACCAAAAGTGTATTTGGAAACTGCTCCATCAAAAGGCATGTTCAGCTCTGTGAGTGAAACTCCATCATCACAAAGAATATTCTGAGAATGCTTCCGTTTGCCTTTTATATGAAGTTCCTTCCTATACGACCGTAGGCCTCAAAGCAGTCCAAATCTCCATTTGCAGATTCTACAAAAAGAGTGATTCCAATCTGCTCTATCAATAGGATTGTTCAACTCCATGAGTTGAATGCCATCCTCACAAAGTAGTTTCTGAGAATGCTTCTATCTGGTTTTTGTGTGAAGATATTTCCTTTACCACCACAGGCCTCAAAGCCCTCCAAACGACCACTTGCAGATTCTCGAAAAAGAGTGTTTCATAGCTGCTCTTTCAAAAGGAAAGTTCAACTCTGGGAGTTGAATACAAACATCACAAAATAGTTTCCGAGAATGCTTCTGTTTAGTTTTTATGTGAAGATGATCCCGTTTCCAGTGAAATCTTCAAAGAGGTCCACATATCCCCTTGCAGATTCCAAAGAAAGAGGGTTTCAAAACTGCTCCATCAAAAGGATTCTTCAACTCTGTGAGTTGAATGCAGTCATCGCAGAAAACTTTCTGAGAATGCTTCTGTCTAGGTTTGATGTGAAGATATAGACGTTTCAAACGAAGGCTACAAAGTGGTCAAAATATACACTTGCAGATTCTACTACAAGGGTGTTGCAAACCTGAACTATCAAAGGAAGGTTCAACTCTGTGAGTTGAATACAAACATCACAAAGAATGTTCTGAGTTTGCTTCCGTTCAGTTATGGGAAGTTGATCCCGTTTCCAACGAAATCCTCAGAGAGGTCCAAATATCCCCTTGCAGATTCTACAAAACGTGTGTTTGGAAACTGCTCCATCATAACGAATGTTCAGCTCCCTGAGTTAAACTCCATCGTCACAAAGAATTTTCTGAGAGTGCTACCGTCTGGTTTTTATATGAAGTTCTTTCCTTCACTACCACAGGCCTCAAAGCGGTCCAAATCTCCACTTGCAGATTCTACAAAAAGAGTGTTTGCAAACTGCTCTATCAAAAGGAATGTTCAACTCTGGGAGTTGAATGCAATCATCACAGAGCAGTTTCTGAGAATGCTTCTATGTCGTTTTTAGGAGAAGATATTTCCTTTTCCAACACAGTCCTCCAAGCCCGCTAAATAGCCACTTGCACATTGTAGAAAAAGTGTGTCGAAGCTGCGCTATCAAAGGGAAAGTTCAACTCTGTGAGGTGAATGCAAACATCCCAAAGAAGTTTCTGAGAATGCTTCCGTTTAGCTTTTAGGTGAAGATTATCCCGTTTCCAACGAAACCTTCAAAGAGGTCCAAATATCCCCTTGCGGATCCCACAGAAAGAGTGTTTCGAAACTGCTGTTTCAAAAGGAATCTTCAACTCTGTGAGTTGAATGCAATCATCACAAAGAAGTTTCTGACAATGCTTCTCTCTCGTCTTTCTGTGAAGATAAAGGAAAAGGCTTTCAGGCCTTTTCCACCACAGGCCTGAAAGCGCTCCAAATGTCCACTTGCAGATTCTGCCAAAAGAATATTTCAAAACTGCTCTATGAAAAGCAATGTTAAACTCTGTGGCTCGAACACAAACATCACAAAGCAGTTTCTGAGAATGCTTCAGTTTAGTTTTTCTGTGGAAATATTCCCGTTTCCAAAGAAATATTCAAAGAGGTCCACGTATCCACTTACAGATTCTACAAAAAGACAGTTTCAAAACTGCTCCATCAAAAGGAGGGTTCAACTGTGTGACTTGAATGTAATCATCACTCAGAAGTTTCTGAGAATGCTTCTCTTTAGTTTTTACGTGAACATATACCCGTTTCGAACGAAGGCCAGCCAGTGGTCCAAATATCCACTTGCAGATTCTACAGAAAGAGTGTTTCGAACCTGAACTCTCAAAGGCAGGTTCATCTCTGCGAGTTAAATGCATTCATCATGAAGAACTTTCTCAGAGTGTTTGTGTTTAGTTATGGGAAATTATTCCCGTTTCCAACGAAATCCTCAGAGAGGTCCAAATATCCACCTGCAGATTCTATCAAAAGTGTATTTGGAAACTGCTCCATCAAAAGGCATGTTCAGCTCTGTGAGTGAAACTCCATCATCACAAAGAATATTCTGAGAATGCTTCCGTTTGCCTTTTATATGAAGTTCCTTCCTATACGACCGTAGGCCTCAAAGCAGTCCAAATCTCCATTTGCAGATTCTACAAAAAGAGTGATTCCAATCTGCTCTATCAATAGGATTGTTCAACTCCATGAGTTGAATGCCATCCTCACAAAGTAGTTTCTGAGAATGCTTCTATCTAGTTTTTATGTGAAGATATTTCCTTTTCCACCACAGGCCTCAAAGCCCTCCAAACGTCCACTTGCAGATTCTCGAAAAAGAGTGTTTCATAGCTGCTCTTTCAAAAGGAAAGTTCAACTCTGGGAGTTGAATACAAACATCACAAAGTAGTTTCCGAGAATGCTTCTGTTTAGTTTTTATGTGAAGATGATCCCGTTTCCAGTGAAATCTTCAAAGAGGTCCACATATCCCCTTGCAGATTCCAAAGAAAGAGGGTTTCAAAACTGCTCCATCAGAAGGATTGTTCAACTCTGTGAGTTGAATGCAGTCATCGCAGAAAACTTTCTGAGAATGCTTCTGTCTAGGTTTGATGTGAAGATATAGACGTTTCAAACGAAGGCTACAAAGTGGTCAAAATATACACTTGCAGATTCTACTACAAGGGTGTTGCAAACCTGAACTATCAAAGGAAGGTTCAACTCTGTGAGTTGAATACAAACATCACAAAGAATGTTCTGAGTTTGCTTCCGTTCAGTTATGGGAAGTTGATCCCGTTTCCAACGAAATCCTCAGAGAGGTCCAAATATCCCCTTGCAGATTCTACAAAACGTGTGTTTGGAAACTGCTCCATCATAACGAATGTTCAGCTCCCTGAGTTAAACTCCATCGTCACAAAGAATTTTCTGAGAGTGCTACCGTCTGGTTTTTATATGAAGTTCTTTCCTTCACTACCACAGGCCTCAAAGCGGTCCAAATCTCCACTTGCAGATTCTACAAAAAGAGTGTTTGCAAACTGCTCTATCAAAAGGAATGTTCAACTCTGGGAGTTGAATGCAATCATCACAGAGCAGTTTCTGAGAATGCTTCTATGTCGTTTTTAGGAGAAGATATTTCCTTTTCCAACACAGTCCTCCAAGCCCGCTAAATAGCCACTTGCACATTGTAGAAAAAGTGTGTCAAAGCTGCGCTATCAAAGGGAAAGTTCAACTCTGTGAGGTGAATGCAAACATCCCAAAGAAGTTTCTGAGAATGCTTCCGTTTAGCTTTTAGGTGAAGATTATCCCGTTTCCAACGAAACCTTCAAAGAGGTCCAAATATCCCCTTGCGGATCCCACAGAAAGAGTGTTTCGAAACTGCTGTTTCAAAAGGAATCTTCAACTCTGTGAGTTGAATGCAATCATCACAAAGAAGTTTCTGACAATGCTTCTCTCTCGTCTTTCTGTGAAGATAAAGGAAAAGGCTTTCAGGCCTTTGCCACCACAGGCCTGAAAGCGCTCCAAATGTCCACTTGCAGATTCTGCCAAAAGAATATTTCAAAACTGCTCTATGAAAAGCAATGTTAAACTCTGTGGCTGGAACACAAACATCACAAAGCGGTTTCTGAGAATGTTTCAGTTTAGTTTTTCTGTGGAAATATTCCCGTTTCCAAAGAAATCTTCAAAGAGGTCCACGTATCCACTTACAGATTCTACAAAAAGACAGTTTCAAAACTGCTCCATCAAAAGGAGGGTTCAACTGTGTGACTTGAATGCAATCATCACTCAGAAGTTTCTGAGAATGCTTCTCTTTAGTTTTTACGTGAACATATACCCGTTTCGAACGAAGGCCACCCAGTGGTCCAAATATCCACTTGCAGATTCTACAGAAAGAGTGTTTCGAACCTGAACTCTCAAAGGCAGGTTCATCTCTGCGAGTTAAATGCATTCATCATGAAGAACTTTCTCAGAGTGTTTGTGTTTAGTTATGGGAAATTATTCCCGTTTCCAACGAAATCCTCAGAGAGCTCCAAATATCCACCTGCAGATTCTACCAAAAGTGTATTTGGAAACTGCTCCATCAAAAGGCATGTTCAGCTCTGTGAGTGAAACTCCATCATCACAAAGAATATTCTGAGAATGCTTCCGTTTGCCTTTTATATGAAGTTCCTTCCTATACGACCGTAGGCCTCAAAGCAGTCCAAATCTCCATTTGCAGATTCTACAAAAAGAGTGATTCCAATCTGCTCTATCAATAGGATTGTTCAACTCCATGAGTTGAATGCCATCCTCACCAAGTCGTTTCTGAGAATGCTTCTATCTAGTTTTTATGTGAAGATATTTCCTTTTCCACCACAGGCCTCAAAGCCTTCCAAACGTCCACTTGCAGATTCTCGAAAAAGAGTGTTTCATAGCTGCTCTTTCAAAAGGAAAGTTCAACTCTGGGAGTTGAATACAAACATCACAAAGTAGTTTCCGAGAATGCTTCTGTTTAGTTGTTATGTGAAGATGATCCCGTTTCCAGTGAAATCTTCAAAGAGGTCCATATATCCCCTTGCAGATTCCAAAGAAAGAGGGTTTCAAAACTGCTCCATCAAAAGGATTGTGCAACTCTGTGAGTTGAATGCAGTCATCGCAGAAAACTTTCTGAGAATGCTTCTGTCTAGGTTTGATGTGAAGATATAGACGTTTCAAACGAAGGCTACAAAGTGGTCAAAATATACACTTGCAGATTCTACTACAAGGGTGATGCAAACCTCAACTATCAAAGGAAGGTTCAACTCTGTGAGTTGAATACAAACATCACAAAGAATGTTCTGAGTTTGCTTCCGTTCAGTTATGGGAAGTTGATCCCGTTTCCAACGAAATCCTCAGAGAGGTCCAAATATCCCCTTGCAGATTCTACAAAACGTGTGTTTGGAAACTGCTCCATCATAACGGATGTTCAGCTCTCTGAGTTAAACTCCATCGTCACAAAGAATTTTCTGAGAGTGCTACCGTCTGGTTTTTATATGAAGTTGTTTCCTTTACTACCACAGGCCTCAAAGCGGTCCAAATCTCCACTTGCAGATTCTACAAAAAGAGTGTTTGCAAACTGCTCTATCAAAAGGAATGTTCAACTCTGGGAGTTGAATGCAATCATCACAGAGCAGTTTCTGAGAATGCTTCTATGTCGTTTTTAGGAGAAGATATTTCCTTTTCCAACACAGTCCTCCAAGCCCGCTAAATATCCACTTGCACATTGTAGAAAAAGTGTGTCGAAGCTGCGCTATCAAAGGGAAAATTCAACTCTGTGAGGTGAATGCAAACATCCAAAAGAAGTTTCTGAGAATGCTTCCGTTTAGCTTTTAGGTGAAGATTATCCCGTTTCCAACGAAACCTTCAAAGAGGTCCAAATATCCCCTTGCGGATCCCACAGAAAGAGTGTTTCGAAACTGCTGTTTCAAAAGGAATCTTCAACTCTGTGAGTTGAATGCAATCATCACAAAGAAGTTTCTGACAATGCTTCTCTCTCGTCTTTCTGTGAAGATAAAGGAAAAGGCTTTCAGGCCTTTTCCACCACAGGCCTGAAAGCGCTCCAAATGTCCACTTGCAGATTCTGCCAAAAGAATATTTCAAAACTGCTCTATGAAAAGCAATGTTAAACTCTGCGGCTCGAACACAAACATCACAAAGCAGTTTCTGAGAATGCTTCAGTTTAGTTTTTCTGTGGAAATATTCCCGTTTCCAAAGAAATCTTCAAAGAGGTCCACTGTATCCACTTACAGATTCTACAAAAAGACAGTTTCAAAACTGCTCCATCAAAAGGAGGGTTCAACTGTGTGACTTGAATGCAATCATCACTCAGAAGTTTCTGAGAATGCTTCTCTTTAGTTTTTACGTGAACATATACCCGTTTCGAACGAAGGCCAGCCAGTGGTCCAAATATCCACTTGCAGATTCTACAGAAAGAGTGTTTTGAACCTGAACTCTCAAAGGCAGGTTCATCTCTGCGAGTTAAATGCATTCATCATGAAGAACTTTCTCAGCGTGTTTGTGTTTAGTTATGGGAAATTATTCCCGTTTCCAACGAAATCCTCAGAGAGCTCCAAATATCCACCTGCAGATTCTACCAAAAGTCTATTTGGAAACTGCTCCATCAAAAGGCATGTTCAGCTCTGTGAGTGAAACTCCATCATCACAAAGAATATTCTGAGAATGCTTCCGTTTGCCTTTTATATGAAGTTCCTTCCTATACTACCGTAGGCCTCAAAGCAGTCCAAATCTCCATTTGCAGATTCTACAAAAAGAGTGATTCCAATCTGCTCTATCAATATGATTGTTCAACTCCATGAGTTGAATGCCATCCTCACAAAGTAGTTTCTGAGAATGCTTCTATGTAGTTTTTATGTGAAGATATTTCCTTTTCCACCACAGGCCTCAAAGCCCTCCAAACGTCCACTTGCAGATTCTCGAAAAAGAGTGTTTCATAGCTGCTCTTTCAAAAGGAAATTTCAACTGTGGGAGTTGAATACAAACATCACAAAGTAGTTTCCGAGAATGCTTCTGTTTAGTTCTTATGTGAAGATGATCCCGTTTCCAGTGAAATCTTCAAAGAGGTCCACATATCCCCTTGCAGATTCCAAAGAAAGAGGGTTTCAAAACTGCTCCATCAAAAGGATTGTTCAACTCTGTGAGTTGAATGCAGTCATCGCAGAAAACTTTCTGAGAATGCTTCTGTCTAGGTTTGATGTGAAGATATAGACGTTTCAAATGAAGGCTACAAAGTGTTCAAAATATACACTTGCAGATTCTACTACAAGGGTGATGCAAACCTCAACTATCAAAGGAAAGTTCAACTCTGTGAGTTGAATACAAACATCACAAAGAATGTTCTGAGTTTGCTTCCGTTCAGTTATGGGAAGTTGATCCCGTTTCCTACGAAATCCTCAGAGAGGTCCAAATATCCCCTTGCAGATTCTACAAAACGTGTGTTTGGAAACTGCTCCATCATAACGAATGTTCAGCTCTCTGAGTTGAACTCCATCGTCACAAAGAATTTTCTGAGAGTGCTACCGTCTAGTTTTTATATGAAGTTCTTTCCTTTACTACCACAGGCCTCAAAGCGGTCCAAATCTCCACTTGCAGATTCTACAAAAAGAGTGTTTGCAAACTGCTCTATCAAAAGGAATGTTCAACTCTGGGAGTTGAATGCAATCATCACAGAGCAGTTTCTGAGAATGCTTCTATGTCGTTTTTAGGAGAAGATATTTCCTTTTCCAACACAGTCCTCCAAGCCCGCTAAATATCCACTTGCACATTGTAGAAAAAGTGTGTCGAAGCTGCGCTATCAAAGGGAAAGTTCAACTCTGTGAGGTGAATGCAAACATCCCAAAGAAGTTTCTGAGAATGCTTCCGTTTAGCTTTAAGTGAAGATTATCCCGTTTCCAACGAAATCTTCAAAGAGGTCCAAATATCCCCTTGCGGATCCCACAGAAAGAGTGTTTCGAAACTGCTGTTTCAAAAGGAATCTTCAACTCTGTGAGTTGAATGCAATCATCACAAAGAAGTTTCTGACAATGCTTCTCTCTCGTCTTTCTGTGAAGATAAAGGAAAAGGCTTTCAGGCCATTTCCACCACAGGCCTGAAAGCGCTCCAAATGTCCACTTGCAGATTCTGCCAAAAGAATATTTCAAAACTGCTCTATGAAAAGCAATGTTAAACTCTGCGGCTCGAACACAAACATCACAAAGCAGTTTCTGAGAATGCTTCAGTTTAGTTTTTCTGTGGAAATATTCCCGTTTCCAAAGAAATCTTCAAAGAGGTCCACGCATCCACTTACAGATTCTACAAAAAGACAGTTTCAAAACTGCTCAATCAAAAGGAGGGTTCAACTGTGTGACTTGAATGCATTCATCACTCAGAAGTTTCTGAGAATGCTTCTCTTTAGTTTTTACGTGAACATATACCCGTTTCGAACGAAGGCCAGCCAGTGGTCCAAATATCCACTTGCAGATTCTACAGAAAGAGTGTTTCGAACCTGAACTCTCAAAGGCAGGTTCATCTCTGCGAGTTAAATGCATTCATCATGAAGAACTTTCTCAGAGTGTTTGTGTTCAGTTATGGGAAATTATTCCCGTTTCCAACGAAATCCTCAGAGATGTCCAAATATCCACCTGCAGATTCTACCAAAAGTGTATTTGGAAACTGCTCCATCAAAAGGCATGTTCAGCTCTGTGAGTGAAACTCCATCATCACAAAGAATATTCTGAGAATGCTTCCGTTTGCCTTTTATATGAAGTTCCTTCCTATTCTACCATAGGCCTCAAAGCAGTCCAAATCTCCATTTGCAGATTCTACAAAAAGAGTGATTCCAATCTGCTCTATCAATAGGATTGTTCAACTCCATGAGTTGAATGCCATCCTCACAAAGTAGTTTCTGAGAATGCTTCTATCTAGTTTTTATGTGAAGATATTTCCTTTTCCACCACAGGCCTCAAAGCCCTCCAAACGTCCACTTGCAGATTCTAGAAAAAGAGTGTTTCATAGCTGCTCTTTCAAAAGGAAAGTTCAACTCTGGGAGGTGAATACAAACATCACAAAGTAGTTTCCGAGAATGCTTCTGTTTAGTTCTCATGTGAAGATGATCCCGTTTCCAGTGAAATCTTCAAAGAGGTCCACATATCCCCTTGCAGATTCCAAAGAAAGAGGGTTTCAAAACTGCTCCATCAAAAGGATTGTTCAACTCTGTGAGTTGAATGCAGTCCTCACAGAAAACTTTCTGAGAATGCTTCTGTCTAGGTTTGATGTGAAGATATAGACGTTTCAAACGAAGGCTACAAAGTGGTCAAAATATACACTTGCAGATTCTACTACAAGGGTGTTGCAAACCTGAACTATCAAAGGAAGGTTCAACTCTGTGAGTTGAATACAAACATCACAAAGAATGTTCTGAGTTTGCTTCCGTTCAGTTATGGGAAGTTGATCCCGTTTCCAATGAAATCCTCAGAGAGGTCAAAATATCCCCTCGCAGATTCTACAAAACGTGTGTTTGGAAACTGCTCCATCATAACGAATGTTCAGCTCCCTGAGTTAAACTCCATCGTCACAAAGAATTTTCTGAGAGTGCTACCGTCTGGTTTTTATATGAAGTTCTTTCCTTCACTACCACAGGCCTCAAAGCGGTCCAAATCTCCACTTGCAGATTCTACAAAAAGAGTGTTTGCAAACTGCTCTATCAAAAGGAATGTTCAACTCTGGGAGTTGAATGCAATCATCACAGAGCAGTTTCTGAGAATGCTTCTATGTCGTTTTTAGGAGAAGATATTTCCTTTTCCAACACAGTCCTCCAAGCCCGCTAAATAGCCACTTGCACATTGTAGAAAAAGTGTGTCAAAGCTGCGCTATCAAAGGGAAAGTTCAACTCTGTCAGGTGAATGCAAACATCCCAAAGAAGTTTCTGAGAATGCTTCCGTTTAGCTTTTAGGTGAAGATTATCCCGTTTCCAACGAAACCTTCAAAGAGGTCCAAATATCCCCTTGCGGATCCCACAGAAAGAGTGTTTCGAAACTGCTGTTTCAAAAGGAATCTTCAACTCTGTGAGTTGAATGCAATCATCACAAAGAAGTTTCTGACAATGCTTCTCTCTCGTCTTTCTGTGAAGATAAAGGAAAAGGCTTTCAGGCCTTTTCCACCACAGGCCTGAAAGCGCTCCAAATGTCCACTTGCAGATTCTGTGAAAAGAATATTTCAAAACTGCTCTATGAAAAGCAATGTTAAACTCTGTGGCTCGAACACAAACATCACAAAGCAGTTTCTGAGAATACTTCAGTTTAGTTTTTCTGTGGAAATATTCCCGTTTCCAAAGAAATCTTCAAAGAGGTCCACGTATCCACTTACAGATTCTACAAAAAGACAGTTTCAAAACTGCTCCATCAAAAGGAGGGTTCAACCGTGTGACTTGAATGCAATCATCACTCAGAAGTTTCTGAGAATGCTTCTCTTTAGTTTTTACGTGAACATATACCCGTTTCGAACGAAGGCCACCCAGTGGTCCAAATATCCACTTGCAGATTCTACAGAAAGAGTGTTTCGAACCTGAACTCTCAAAGGCAGGTTCATCTCTGCGAGTTAAATGCATTCATCATGAAGAACTTTCTCAGAGTGTTTGTGTTTAGTTATGGGAAATTATTCCCGTTTCCAACGAAATCCTCAGAGAGCTCCAAATATCCACCTGCAGATTCTACCAAAAGTGTATTTGGAAACTGCTCCATCAAAAGGCATGTTCAGCTCTGTGAGTGAAACTCCATCATCACAAAGAATATTCTGAGAATGCTTCCGTTTGCCTTTTATATGAAGTTCCTTCCTATACTACCGTAGGCCTCAAAGCAGTCCAAATCTCCATTTGCAGATTCTACAAAAAGAGTGATTCCAATCTGCTCTATCAATAGGACTGTTCAACTCCATGAGTTGAATGCCATCCTCACAAAGTAGTTTCTGAGAATGCTTCTATCTAGTTTTTATGTGAAGATATTTCCTTTTCCACCACAGGCCTCAAAGCCCTCCAAACGTCCACTTGCAGATTCTCGAAAAAGAGTGTTTCATAGCTGCTCTTTCAAAAGGAAAGTTCAACTCTGGGAGCTGAATACAAACATCACAAAGTAGTTTCCGAGAATGCTTCTGTTTAGTTCTTATGTGAAGATGATCCCGTTTCCAGTGAAATCTTCAAAGAGGTCCACATATCCCCTTGCAGATTCCAAAGAAAGAGGGTTTCAAAACTGCTCCATCAAAAGGATTGTTCAACTCTGTGAGTTGAATGCAGTCATCGCAGAAAACTTTCTGAGAATGCTTCTGTCTAGGTTAGATGTGAAGATATAGACGTTTCAAACGAAGGCTACAAAGTGGTCAAAATATACACTTGCAGATTCTACTACAAGGGTGATGCAAACCTGAACTATCAAAGGAAGGTTCAACTCTGTGAGTTGAATACAAACATCACAAAGAATGTTCTGAGTTTGCTTCCGTTCAGTTATGGGAAGTTGATCCCGTTTCCAACGAAATCCTCAGAGAGGTCCAAATATCCCCTTGCAGATTCTACAAAACGTGTGTTTGGAAACTGCTCCATCATAACGAATGTTCAGCTCTCTGAGTTAAACTCCATCGTCACAAAGAATTTTCTGAGAGTGCTACCGTCTAGTTTTATATGAAGTTCTTTCCTTTACTACCACAGGCCTCAAAGCGGTCCAAATCTCCACTTGCAGATTCTACAAAAAGAGTGTTTGCAAACTGCTCTATCAAAAGGAATGTTCAACTCTGGGAGTTGAATGCAATCATCACAGAGCAGTTTCTGAGAATGCTTCTATGTCGTTTTTAGGAGAAGATATTTCCTTTTCCAACACAGTCCTCCAAGCCCGCTAAATATCCACTTGCACATTGTAGAAAAAGTGTGTCGAAGCTGCGCTATCAAAGGGAAAGTTCAACTCTGTGAGGTGAATGCAAACATCCCAAAGAAGTTTCTGAGAATGCTTCCGTTTAGCTTTTAGGTGAAGATTATCCCGTTTCCAACGAAATCTTCAAAGAAGTCCAAATATCCCCTTGCGGATCCCACAGAAAGAGTGTTTCGAAACTGCTGTTTCAAAAGGAATCTTCAACTCTGTGAGTTGAATGCAATCATCACAAAGAAGTTTCTGACAATGCTTCTCTCTCGTCTTTCTATGAAGATAAAGGAAAATGCTTTCAGGCCTTTTCCACCACAGGCCTGAAAGCGCTCCAAATGTCCACTTGCAGATTCTGCCAAAAGAATATTTCAAAACTGCTCTATGAAAAGCAATGTTAAACTCTGCGGCTCGAACACAAACATCACAAAGCAGTTTCAGAGAATGCTTCAGTTTACTTTTTCTGTGGAAATATTCCCGTTTCCAAAGAAATCTTCAAAGAGGTCCACGCATCCACTTACAGATTCTACAAAAAGACAGTTTCAAAACTGCTCAATCAAAAGGAGGGTTCAACTGTGTGACTTGAATGCAATCATCACTCAGAAGTTTCTGGGAACGCTTCTCTTTAGTTTTTACGTGAACATATACCCGTTTCGAACGAAGGCCAGCCAGTGGTCCAAATATCCACTTGCAGATTCTACAGAAAGAGTGTTTCGAACCTGAACTCTCAAAGGCAGGTTCATCTCTGCGAGTTAAATGCATTCATCATGAAGAACTTTCTCAGCGTGTTTGTGTTTATTTATGGGAAATTATTACCGTTTCCAACGAAATCCTCAGAGAGCTCCAAATATCCACCTGCAGATTCTACCAAAAGTGTATTTGGAAACTGCTCCATCAAAAGGCATGTTCAGCTCTGTGAGTGAAACTCCATCATCACAAAGAATATTCTGAGAATGCTTCCGTTTGCCTTTTATATGAAGTTCCTTCCTATACGACCGTAGGCCTCAAAGCAGTCCAAATCTCCATTTGCAGATTCTACAAAAAGAGTGATTCCAATCTGCTCTATCAATAGGACTGTTCAACTCCATGAGTTGAATGCCATCCTCACAAAGTCGTTTCTGAGAATGCTTCTATCTAGTTTTTATGTGAAGATATTTCCTTTTCCACCACAGGCCTCAAAGCCCTCCAAACGTCCACTTGCAGATTCTCGAAAAAGAGTGTTTCATAGCTGCTCTTTCAAAAGGAAAGTTCAACTCTGGGAGTTGAATACAAACATCACAAAGTAGTTTCCGAGAATGCTTCTGTTTAGTTCTTATGTGAAGATGATCCCGTTTCCAGTGAAATCTTCAAAGAGGTCCACATATCCCCTTGCAGATTCCAAAGAAAGAGGGTTTCAAAACTGCTCCATCAAAAGGATTGTTCAACTCTGTGAGTTGAATGCAGTCATCGCAGAAAACTTTCTGAGAATGCTTCTGTCTAGGTTTGAGGTGAAGATATAGACGTTTCAAACGAAGGCTACAAAGTGGTCAAAATATACACTTGCAGATTCTACTACAAGGGTGTTGCAAACCTCAACTATCAAAGGAAGGTTCAACTCTGTGAGTTGAATACAAACATCACAAAGAATGTTCTGAGTTTGCTTCCGTTCAGTTATGGGAAGTTGATCCCGTTTCCAACGAAATCCTCAGAGAGGTCCAAATATCCCCTTGCAGATTCTACAAAACGTGTGTTTGGAAACTGCTCCATCATAACGAATGTTCAGCTCTCTGAGTTAAACTCCATCGTCACAAAGAATTTTCTGAGAGTGCTACCGTCTGGTTTTTATATGAAGTTCTTTCCTTTACTACCACAGGCCTCAAAGCGGTCCAAATCTCCACTTGCAGATTCTACAAAAAGAGTGTTTGCAAACTGCTCTATCAAAAGGAATGTTCAACTCTGGGAGTTGAATGCAATCATCACAGAGCAGTTTCTGAGAATGCTTCTATGTCGTTTTTAGGAGAAGATATTTCCTTTTCCAACACAGTCCTCCAAGCCCGCTAAATATCCACTTGCACATTGGAGAAAAAGTGTGTCGAAGCTGCGCTATCAAAGGGAAAGTTCAACTCTGTGAGGTGAATGCAAACATCCCAAAGAAGTTTCTGAGAATGCTTCCGTTTAGCTTTTAGGTGAAGATTATCCCGTTTCCAACGAAATCTTCAAAGAGGTCCAAATATCCCCTTGCGGATCCCACAGAAAGAGTGTTTTGAAACTGCTGTTTCAAAAGGAATCTTCAACTCTGTGGGTTGAATGCAATCATCACAAAGAAGTTTCTGACAATGCTTCTCTCTCGTCTTTCTGTGAAGATAAAGGAAAAGGCTTTCAGGCCTTTTCCACCACAGGCCTGAAAGCGCTCCAAATGTCCACTTGCAGATTCTGCCAAAAGAATATTTCAAAACTGCTCTATGAAAAGCAATGTTAAACTCTGTGGCTTGAACACAAACATCACAAAGCAGTCTCTGAGAATGCTTCAGTTTAGTTTTTCTGTGGAAATATTCCCGTTTCGAAAGAAATCTTCAAAGAGGTCCACGCATCCAATTACAGATTCTACAAAAAGACAGTTTCAAAACTGCTCAATCAAAAGGAGGGTTCAACCGTGTGACATGAATGCAATCATCACTCAGAAGTTTCTGAGAACGCTTCTCTTTAGTTTTTACGTGAACATATACCTGTTTCGAAAGAAGGCCACCCAGTGGTCCAAATATCCACTTGCAGATTCTACAGAAAGAGTGTTTCGAACCTGAACTCTCAAAGGAAGGTTCATCTCTGTGAGTTAAATGCATTCATCATGAAGAACGTTCTCAGCGTGTTTGTGTTTAATTATGGGAAATTATTCCCGTTTCCAACGAAATCCTCAGAGAGGTCCAAATATCCACCAGCAGATTCTACCAAAAGTGTATTTGGAAACTGCTCCATCAAAAGGCATGTTCAGCTCTGTGAGTGAAACTCCATCATCACAAAGAATATTCTGAGAATGCTTCCGTTTGCCTTTTATATGAAGTTCCTTCCTATACTACCGTAGGCCTCAAAGCAGTCCAAATCTCCATTTGCAGATTCTACAAAAATAGTGATTCCAATCTGCTCTATCAATAGGACTGTTCAACTCCATGAGTTGAATGCCATCCTCACAAACTCGTTTCTGAGAATGCTTCTATCTAGTTTTTATGTGAAGATATTTCCTTTTCCACCACAGGCCTCAAAGCCCTCCAAACGTCCACTTGCGGATTCTCGAAAAAGAGTGTTTCATAGCTGCTCTTTCAAAAGGAAAGTTCAACTCTGGGAGCTGAATACAAACATCACAAAGTAATTTCCGAGAATGCTTCTATTTAGTTCTTATGTGAAGATGATCCCGTTTCCAGTGAAATCTTCAAAGAGGTCCACATATCCCCTTGCAGATTCCAAAGAAAGAGGGTTTCAAAACTGCTCCATCAAAAGGATTGTTCAACTCTGTGAGTTGAATGCAGTCATCGCAGAAAACTTTCTGAGAATGCTTCTGTCTAGGTTTGATGTGAAGATATAGACGTTTCAAACGAAGGCTACAAAGTGGTCAAAATATACACTTGCAGATTCTACTACAAGGGTGATGCAAACCTGAACTATCAAAGGAAGGTTCAACTCTGTGAGTTGAATACAAACATCACAAAGAATGTTCTGAGTTTGCTTCCGTTCAGTTATGGGAAGTTGATCCCGTTTCCAACGAAATCCTCAGAGAGGTCCAAATATCCCCTTGCAGATTCTGCAAAACGTGTGTTTGGAAACTGCTCCATCATAACGAATGTTCAGCTCTCTGAGTTAAACTCCATCGTCACAAAGAATTTTCTGAGAGTGCTACCGTCTAGTTTTTATATGAAGTTCTTTCCTTTACTACCACAGGCCTCAAGGCGGTCCAAATCTCCACTTGCAGATTCTACAAAAAGAGTGTTTGCAAACTGCTCTATCAAAAGGAATGTTCAACTCTGGGAGTTGAATGCAATCATCACAGAGTAGTTTCTGAGAATGCTTCTATGTCGTTTTTAGGAGAAGATATTTCCTTTTCCAACACAGTCCTCCAAGCCCGCTAAATAGCCACTTGCACATTGTAGAAAAAGTGTGTCAAAGCTGCGCTATCAAAGGGAAAGTTCAACTCTGTGAGGTGAATGCAAACATCCTAAAGAAGTTTCTGAGAATGCTTCCGTTTACCTTTTAGGTGAAGATTATCCCGTTTCCAACGAAATCTTCCCAGAGATCCAAATATACCCTTGTGGATCCCACAGAAAGAGTGTTTCGAAACTGCTGTTTCAAAACGAACCTTCAACTCTGTGAGTTGAATGCAATCATCACAAAGAAGTTTCTGACAATGCTTCTCTCCCGTCTTTCTGTGAAGATAAAGGAAAAGGCTTTCAGGCCTTTTCCACCACAGGCCTGAAAGCGCTCCAAATGTCCACTTGCAGATTCTGCCAAAAGAATATTTCGAAACTGCTCTATGAGAAGCAATGTTAAACTCTGTGGCTCGAACACAAACATCACAAAGCAGTTTCTGAGAATGCTTCAGTTTAGTTTTTCTGTGGAAATATTCCCGTTTCCAAAGAAATCTTCCAAGAGGTCCACGAATCCACTTACAGATTCTACAAAAAGACAGTTTCAAAACTGCTCAATCAAAAGGCGGGTTCAACTGTGCGACTTGAATGCAATCATCACTCAGAAGTTTCTGAGAATGCTTCTCTTTAGTTTTTACGTGAACATATACCCGTTTCGAACGAAGGCCACCCAGTGGTCCAAATATCCACTTGCAGATTATACAGAAAGAGTGTTTGAAACCTGAACTCTCAAAGGCAGGTTCATCTCTGCGAGTTAAATGCATTCATCATGAAGAACTTTCTCAGAGTGTTTGTGTTTAGTTATGGGAAATTATTCCCGTTTCCAAAGAAATCCTCAGAGAGCTCCAAATATCCACCTGCAGATTCTACCAAAAGTGTATTTGGAAACTGCTCCATCAAAAGGCATGTTCAGCTCTGTGAGTGAAACTCCATCATCACAAAGAATATTCTGAGAATGCTTCCGTTTGCCTTTTATATGAAGTTCCTTCCTGTACTACCGTAGGCCTCAAAGCAGTCCAAATCTCCATTTGCAGATTCTACAAAAAGAGTGATTCCAATCTGCTCTATCAATAGGATTGTTCAACTCCATGAGTTGAATGCCATCCTCACAAAGTAGTTTCTGAGAATGCTTCTATCTGGTTTTTGTGTGAAGATATTTCCTTTTCCACCACAGGCCTCAAAGCCCTCCAAACGTCCACTTGCAGATTCTCGAAAAAGAGTGTTTCATAGCTGCTCTTTCAAAAGGAAAGTTCAACTCTGGGAGTTGAATACAAACATCACAAAATAGTTTCCGAGAATGCTTCTGTTTAGTTCTTATGTGAAGATGATCCCGTTTCCAGTGAAATCTTCAAAGAGGTCCACATATCCCCTTGCAGATTCCAAAGAAAGAGGGTTTCAAAACTGCTCCATCAAAAGGATTGTTCAACTCTGTGAGTTGAATGCAGTCATCGCAGAAAACTTTCTGAGAATGCTTCTGTCTAGGTTTGATGTGAAGATATAGACGTTTCAAACGAAGGCTACAAAGTGGTCAAAATATACACTTGCAGATTCTACTACAAGGGTGTTGCAAACCTGAACTATCAAAGGAAGGTTCAACTCTGTGGGTTGAATACAAACATCACAAAGAATGTTCTGAGTTTGCTTCCGTTCAGTTATGGGAAGTTGATCCCCTTCCCAACGAAATCCTCAGAGAGGTCCAAATATCCCCTTGCAGATTCTACAAAACGTGTGTTTGGAAACTGCTCCATCATAACGAATGTTCAGCTCTCTGAGTTAAACTCCATCGTCACAAAGAATTTTCTGAGAGTGCTACCGTCTAGTTTTTATATGAAGTTCTTTCCTTTACTACCACAGGCCTCAAAGCGGTCCAAATCTCCACTTGCAGATTCTACAAAAAGAGTGTCTGCAAACTGCTCTATCAAAAGGAATGTTCAACTCTGGGAGTTGAATGCAATCATCACAGAGCAGTTTCTGAGAAGGCTTCTATGTCGTTTTTAGGAGAAGATATTTCCTTTTCCAACACAGTCCTCCAAGCCCGCTAAATATCCACTTGCACATTGTAGAAAAAGTGTGTCAAAGCTGCGCTATCAAAGGGAAAGTTCAACTCTGTGAGGTGAATGCAAACATCCCAAAGAAGTTTCTGAGAATGCTTCCGCTTAGGTTTTAGGTGAAGATTATCCCGTTTCCAACGAAATCTTCAAAGAGGTCCAAATATCCCCTTGCGGATCCCACAGAAAGAGTGTTTCGAAACTGCTGTTTCAAAAGGAATCTTCAACTCTGTGAGTTGAATGCAATCATCACAAAGAAGTTTCTGACAATGCTTCTCTCTCGTCTTTCTGTGAAGATAAAGGAAAAGGCTTTCAGGCCTTTTCCACCACAGGCCTGAAAGCGCTCCAAATATCCGCTTGCAGATACTGCGAAAAGAATATTACAAAACTGCTCTATGAAAAGCAATGTTAAACTCTGTGGCTCGAACACAAACATCACAAAGCAGTTTCTGAGAATACTTCAGTTTAGTTTTTCTGTGGAAATATTCCCGTTTCCAAAGAAATCTTCAAAGAGGTCCACGTATCCACTTACAGATTCTACAAAAAGACAGTTTCAAAACTGCTCAATCAAAAGGAGGGTTCAACTGTGTGACTTGAAAGCAATCATCACTCAGAAGATTCTGAGAATGCTTCTCTTTAGTTTTTACGTGAACATATACCCGTTTCGAACGAAGGCCAGCCAGTGGTCCAAATATCCACTTGCAGATTCTACAGAAAGAGTGTTTCGAACCTGAACTCTCAAAGGCAGGTTCATCTCTGCGAGTTCAATGCATTCATCATGAAGAACTTTCTCAGAGTGTTTGTGTTTAGTTATGGGAAATTATTCCCGTTTCCAACGAAATCCTCAGAGAGGTCCAAATATCCACCTGCAGATTCTACCAAAAGTGTATTTGGAAACTGCTCCATCAAAAGGCATGTTCAGCTCTGTGAGTGAAACTCCATCATCACAAAGAATATTCTCAGAATGCTTCCGTTTGCCTTTTATATGAAGTTCCTTCCCATACTACCGTAGGCCTCAAAGCAGTCCAAATCTCCATTTGCAGATTCTACAAAAAGAGTGATTCCAATCTGCTCTATCAATAGGATTGTTCAACTCCATGAGTTGAATGCCATCGTCACAAAGTAGTTTCTGAGAATGCTTCTATCTAGTTTTTATGTGAAGATATTTCCTTTTCCACCACAGGCCTCAAAGCCCTCCAAACGTCCACTTGCAGATTCTCGAAAAAGAGTGTTTCATAGCTGCTCTTTCAAAAGGAAAGTTCAACTCTGGGAGTTGAATACAAACATCACAAAGTAGTTTCCGAGAATGCTTCTGTTTAGTTTTTATGTGAAGATGATCCCGTTTCCAGTGAAATCTTCAAAGAGGTCCACATATCCCCTTGCAGATTCCAAAGAAAGAGGGTTTCAAAACTGCTCCATCAGAAGGATTGTTCAACTCTGTGAGTTGAATGCAGTCATCGCAGAAAACTTTCTGAGAATGCTTCTGTCTAGGTTTGATGTGAAGATATAGACGTTTCAAACGAAGGCTACAAAGTGGTCAAAATATACACTTGCAGATTCTACTACAAGGGTGTTGCAAACCTGAACTATCAAAGGAAGGTTCAACTCTGTGAGTTGAATACAAACATCACAAAGAATGTTCTGAGTTTGCTTCCGTTCAGTTATGGGAAGTTGATCCCGTTTCCAACGAAATCCTCAGAGAGGTCCAAATATCCCCTTGCAGATTCTACAAAACGTGTGTTTGGAAACTGCTCCATCATAACGAATGTTCAGCTCCCTGAGTTAAACTCCATCGTCACAAAGAATTTTCTGAGAGTGCTACCGTCTGGTTTTTATATGAAGCTCTTTCCTTCACTACCCCAGGCCTCAAAGCGGTCCAAATCTCCACTTCCAGATTCTACATAAAGAGTGTTTGCAAACTGCTCTATCAAAAGGAATGTTCAACTCTGGGAGTTGAATGCAATCATCACAGAGCAGTTTCTGAGAATGCTTCTATGTCGTTTTTAGGAGAAGATATTTCCTTTTCCAACACAGTCCTCCAAGCCCGCTAAATAGCCACTTGCACATTGTAGAAAAAGTGTGTCGAAGCTGCGCTATCAAAGGGAAAGTTC
Source organism: Homo sapiens (assembly GCF_000001405.40). Classification (NCBI taxonomy): domain Eukaryota; kingdom Metazoa; phylum Chordata; class Mammalia; order Primates; family Hominidae; genus Homo; species Homo sapiens. The sequence continues at coordinate 60,401,582 of NC_000023.11, read as the reverse complement.
AACTCTGTGAGGTGAATGCAAACATCCCAAAGAAGTTTCTGAGAATGCTTCCGTTTAGCTTTTAGGTGAAGATTATCCCGTTTCCAACGAAACCTTCAAAGAGGTCCAAATATCCCCTTGCGGATCCCACAGAAAGAGTGTTTCGAAACTGCTGTTTCAAAAGGAATCTTCAACTCTGTGAGTTGAATGCAATCATCACAAAGAAGTTTCTGACAATGCTTCTCTCTCGTCTTTCTGTGAAGATAAAGGAAAAGGCTTTCAGGCCTTTTCCACCACAGGCCTGAAAGCGCTCCAAATGTCCACTTGCAGATTCTGCGAAAAGAATATTTCAAAACTGCTCTATGAAAAGCAATGTTAAACTCTGTGGCTCGAACACAAACATCACAAAGCGGTTTCTGAGAATGCTTCAGTTTAGTTTTTCTGTGGAAATATTCCCGTTTCCAAAGAAATCTTCAAAGAGGTCCACGTATCCACTTACAGATTCTACAAAAAGACAGTTTCAAAACTGCTCCATCAAAAGGAGGGTTCAACCGTGTGACTTGAATGCAATCATCACTCAGAAGTTTCTGAGAATGCTTCTCTTTAGTTTTTACGTGAACATATACCCGTTTCGAACGAAGGCCACCCAGTGGTCCAAATATCCACTTGCAGATTATACAGAAAGAGTGTTTCGAACCTGAACTCTCAAAGGCAGGTTCATCTCTGCGAGTTAAATGCATTCATCATGAAGAACTTTCTCAGAGTGTTTGTGTTTAGTTATGGGAAATTATTCCCGTTTCCAACGAAATCCTCAGAGAGCTCCAAATATCCACCTGCAGATTCTACCAAAAGTGTATTTGGAAACTGCTCCATCAAAAGGCATGTTCAGCTCTGTGAGTGAAACTCCATCATCACAAAGAATATTCTGAGAATGCTTCCGTTTGCCTTTTATATGAAGTTCCTTCCTATACGACCGTAGGCCTCAAAGCAGTCCAAATCTCCATTTGCAGATTCTACAAAAAGAGTGATTCCAATCTGCTCTATCAATAGGATTGTTCAACTCCATGAGTTGAATGCCATCCTCACAAAGTAGTTTCTGAGAATGCTTCTATCTGGTTTTTGTGTGAAGATATTTCCTTTTCCACCACAGGCCTCAAAGCCCTCCAAACGACCACTTGCAGATTCTCGAAAAAGAGTGTTTCATAGCTGCTCTTTCAAAAGGAAAGTTCAACTCTGGGAGTTGAATACAAACATCACAAAATAGTTTCCGAGAATGCTTCTGTTTAGTTTTTATGTGAAGATGATCCCGTTTCCAGTGAAATCTTCAAAGAGGTCCACATATCCCCTTGCAGATTCCAAAGAAAGAGGGTTTCAAAACTGCTCCATCAAAAGGATTCTTCAACTCTGTGAGTTGAATGCAGTCATCGCAGAAAACTTTCTGAGAATGCTTCTGTCTAGGTTTGATGTGAAGATATAGACGTTTCAAACGAAGGCTACAAAGTGATCAAAATATACACTTGCAGATTCTACTACAAGGGTGTTGCAAACCTGAACTATCAAAGGAAGGTTCAACTCTGTGAGTTGAATACAAACATCACAAAGAATGTTCTGAGTTTGCTTCCGTTCAGTTATGGGAAGTTGATCCCGTTTCCAACGAAATCCTCAGAGAGGTCCAAATATCCCCTTGCAGATTCTACAAAACGTGTGTTTGGAAACTGCTCCATCATAACGAATGTTCAGCTCCCTGAGTTAAACTCCATCGTCACAAAGAATTTTCTGAGAGTGCTACCGTCTGGTTTTTATATGAAGTTCTTTCCTTCACTACCACAGGCCTCAAAGCGGTCCAAATCTCCACTTGCAGATTCTACAAAAAGAGTGTTTGCAAACTGCTCTATCAAAAGGAATGTTCAACTCTGGGAGTTGAATGCAATCATCACAGAGCAGTTTCTGAGAATGCTTCTATGTCGTTTTTAGGAGAAGATATTTCCTTTTCCAACACAGTCCTCCAAGCCCGCTAAATAGCCACTTGCACATTGTAGAAAAAGTGTGTCAAAGCTGCGCTATCAAAGGGAAAGTTCAACTCTGTGAGGTGAATGCAAACATCCCAAAGAAGTTTCTGAGAATGCTTCCGTTTAGCTTTTAGGTGAAGATTATCCCGTTTCCAACGAAACCTTCAAAGAGGTCCAAATATTCCCTTGCGGATCCCACAGAAAGAGTGTTTCGAAACTGCTGTTTCAAAAGGAATCTTCAACTCTGTGAGTTGAATGCAATCATCACAAAGAAGTTTCTGACAATGCTTCTCTCTCGTCTTTCTGTGAAGATAAAGGAAAAGGCTTTCAGGCCTTTTCCACCACAGGCCTGAAAGCGCTCCAAATGTCCACTTGCAGATTCTGCGAAAAGAATATTTCAAAACTGCTCTATGAAAAGCAATGTTAAACTCTGCGGCTCGAACACAAACATCACAAAGCGGTTTCTGAGAATGCTTCAGTTTAGTTTTTCTGTGGAAATATTCCCGTTTCCAAAGAAATCTTCAAAGAGGTCCACGTATCCACTTACAGATTCTACAAAAAGACAGTTTCAAAACTGCTCCATCAAAAGGAGGGTTCAACCGTGTGACTTGAATGCAATCATCACTCAGAAGTTTCTGAGAATGCTTCTCTTTAGTTTTTACGTGAACATATACCCGTTTCGAACGAAGGCCACCCAGTGGTCCAAATATCCACTTGCAGATTATACAGAAAGAGTGTTTCGAACCTGAACTCTCAAAGGCAGGTTCATCTCTGCGAGTTAAATGCATTCATCATGAAGAACTTTCTCAGAGTGTTTGTGTTTAGTTATGGGAAATTATTCCCGTTTCCAACGAAATCCTCAGAGAGCTCCAAATATCCACCTGCAGATTCTACCAAAAGTGTATTTGGAAACTGCTCCATCAAAAGGCATGTTCAGCTCTGTGAGTGAAACTCCATCATCACAAAGAATATTCTGAGAATGCTTCCGTTTGCCTTTTATATGAAGTTCCTTCCTATACTACCGTAGGCCTCAAAGCAGTCCAAATCTCCATTTGCAGATTCTACAAAAAGAGTGATTCCAATCTGCTCTATCAATAGGATTGTTCAACTCCATGAGTTGAATGCCATCCTCACAAAGTCGTTTCTGAGAATGCTTCTATCTAGTTTTTATGTGAAGATATTTCCTTTTCCACCACAGGCCTCAAAGCCCTCCAAACGTCCACTTGCAGATTCTCGAAAAAGAGTGTTTCATAGCTGCTCTTTCAAAAGGAAAGTTCAACTCTGGGAGTTGAATACAAACATCACAAAGTAGTTTCCGAGAATGCTTCTGTTTAGTTTTTATGTGAAGATGATCCCGTTTCCAGTGAAATCTTCAAAGAGGTCCACATATCCCCTTGCAGATTCCAAAGAAAGAGGGTTTCAAAACTGCTCCATCAGAAGGATTGTTCAACTCTGTGAGTTGAATGCAGTCATCGCAGAAAACTTTCTGAGAATGCTTCTGTCTAGTTTTGATGTGAAGATATAGACGTTTCAAACGAAGGCTACAAAGTGGTCAAAATATACACTTGCAGATTCTACTACAAGGGTGTTGCAAACCTGAACTATCAAAGGAAGGTTCAACTCTGTGAGTTGAATACAAACATCACAAAGAATGTTCTGAGTTTGCTTCCGTTCAGTTATGGGAAGTTGATCCCGTTTCCAACGAAATCCTCAGAGAGGTCCAAATATCCCCTCGCAGATTCTACAAAACGTGTGTTTGGAAACTGCTCCATCATAACGAATGTTCAGCTCCCTGAGTTAAACTCCATCGTCACAAAGAATTTTCTGAGAGTGCTACCGTCTGGTTTTTATATGAAGTTCTTTCCTTCACTACCACAGGCCTCAAAGCGGTCCAAATCTCCACTTGCAGATTCTACAAAAAGAGTGTTTGCAAACTGCTCTATCAAAAGGAATGTTCAACTCTGGGAGTTGAATGCAATCATCACAGAGCAGTTTCTGAGAATGCTTCTATGTCGTTTTTAGGAGAAGATATTTCCTTTTCCAACACAGTCCTCCAAGCCCGCTAAATAGCCACTTGCACATTGTAGAAAAAGTGTGTCAAAGCTGTGCTATCAAAGGGAAAGTTCAACTCTGTGAGGTGAATGCAAACATCCCAAAGAAGTTTCTGAGAATGCTTCCGTTTAGCTTTTTGGTGAAGATTATCCCGTTTCCAACGAAATCTTCAAAGAGGTCCAAATATCCCCCTGCGGATCCCACAGAAAGAGTGTTCCGAAACTGCTGTTTCAAAAGGAATCTTCAATTCTGTGAGTTGAATGCAATCATCACAAAGAAGTTTCTGACAATGCTTCTCTCTCATCTTTCTGTGAAGATAAAGGAAAAGGCTTTCAGGCCTTTTCCACCACAGGCCTGAAAGCGCTCCAAATGTCCACTTGCAGATTCTGCCAAAAGAATATTTCAAAACTGCTCTATGAAAAGCAATGTTAAACTCTGTGGCTCGAACACAAACATCACAAAGCAGTTTCTGAGAATGCTTCAGTTTAGTTTTTCTGTGGAAATATTCCCGTTTCCAAAGAAATCTTCAAAGAGGTCCACGTATCCACTTACAGATTCTACAAAAAGACAGTTTCAAAACTGCTCAATCAAAAGGAGGGTTCAACTGTGTGACTTGAATGCAATCATCACTCAGAAGTTTCTGAGAACGCTTCTCTTTAGTTTTTACGTGAACATATACCCGTTTCGAACGAAGGCCAGCCAGTGGTCCAAATATCCACTTGCAGATTCTACAGAAAGAGTGTTTCGAACCTGAACTCTCAAAGGCAGGTTCATCTCTGCGAGTTCAATGCATTCATCATGAAGAACTTTCTCAGCGTGTTTGTGTTTAGTTATGGGAAATTATTCCCGTTTCCAACGAAATCCTCAGAGAGGTCCAAATATCCACCTGCAGATTCTACCAAAAGTGTATTTGGAAACTGCTCCATCAAAAGGCATGTTCAGCTCTGTGAGTGAAACTCCATCATCACAAAGAATATTCTGAGAATGCTTCCGTTTGCCTTTTATATGAAGTTCCTTCCTATACTACCGTAGGCCTCAAAGCAGTCCAAATCTCCATTTGCAGATTCTACAAAAAGAGTGATTCCAATCTGCTCTATCAATAGGATTGTTCAACTCCATGAGTTGAATGCCATCCTCACAAAGTCGTTTCTGAGAATGCTTCTATCTAGTTTTTATGTGAAGATATTTCCTTTTCCACCACAGGCCTCAAAGCCCTCCAAACGTCCACTTGCAGATTCTCGAAAAAGAGTGTTTCATAGCTGCTCTTTCAAAAGGAAAGTTCAACTCTGGGAGTTGAATACAAACATCACAAAGTAGTTTCCGAGAATGCTTCTGTTTAGTTTTTATGTGAAGATGATCCCGTTTCCAGTGAAATCTTCAAAGAGGTCCACATATCCCCTTGCAGATTCCAAAGAAAGAGGGTTTCAAAACTGCTCCATCAAAAGGATTGTTCAACTCTGTGAGTTGAATGCAGTCATCGCAGAAAACTTTCTGAGAATGCTTCTTTCTAGGTTTGATGTGAAGATATAGACGTTTCAAACGAAGGCTACAAAGTGGTCAAAATATACACTTGCAGATTCTACTACAAGGGTGTTGCAAACCTGAACTATCAAAGGAAGGTTCAACTCTGTGAGTTGAATACAAACATCACAAAGAATGTTCTGAGTTTGCTTCCGTTCAGTTATGGGAAGTTGATCCCGTTTCCAACGAAATCCTCAGAGAGGTCCAAATATCCCCTCGCAGATTCTACAAAACGTGTGTTTGGAAACTGCTCCATCATAAGGAATGTTCAGCTCCCTGAGTTAAACTCCATCGTCACAAAGAATTTTCTGAGAGTGCTACCGTCTGGTTTTTATATGAAGCTCTTTCCTTCACTACCACAGGCCTGAAAGCGGTCCAAATCTCCACTTGCAGATTCTACAAAAAGAGTGTTTGCAAACTGCTCTATCAAAAGGAATGTTCAACTCTGGGAGTTGAATGCAATCATCACAGAGCAGTTTCTGAGAATGCTTCTATGTCGTTTTTAGGAGAAGATATTTCCTTTTCCAACACAGTACCCCAAGCCCGCTAAATAGCCACTTGCACATTGTAGAAAAAGTGTGTCAAAGCTGCGCTATCAAAGGGAAAGTTCAACTCTGTGAGGTGAATGCAAACATCCCAAAGAAGTTTCTGAGAATGCTTCCGTTTAGCTTTTAGGTGAAGATTATCCCGTTTCCAACGAAACCTTCAAAGAGGTCCAAATATCCCCTTGCGGATCCCACAGAAAGAGTGTTTCGAAACTGCTGTTTCAAAAGGAATCTTCAACTCTGTGAGTTGAATGCAATCATCACAAAGAAGTTTCTGACAATGCTTCTCTCTCGTCTTTCTGTGAAGATAAAGGAAAAGGCTTTCAGGCCTTTTCCACCACAGGCCTGAAAGCGCTCCAAATGTCCACTTGCAGATTCTGCGAAAAGAATATTTCAAAACTGCTCTATGAAAAGCAATGTTAAACTCTGTGGCTCGAACACAAACATCACAAAGCGGTTTCTGAGAATGCTTCAGTTTAGTTTTTCTGTGGAAATATTCCCGTTTCCAAAGAAATCTTCAAAGAGGTCCACGTATCCACTTACAGATTCTACAAAAAGACAGTTTCAAAACTGCTCCATCAAAAGGAGGGTTCAACTGTGTGACTTGAATGCAATCATCACTCACCAGTTTCTGAGAATGCTTCTCTTTAGTTTTTACGTGAACATATACCCGTTTCGAACGAAGGCCAGCCAGTGGTCGAAATATCCACTTGCAGATTCTACAGAAAGAGTGTTTCGAACATGAACTCTCAAAGGCAGGTTCATCTCTGCGAGTTAAATGCATTCATCATGAAGAACTTTCTCAGAGTGTTTGTATTTAGTTATGGGAAATTATTCCCGTTTCCAACGAAATCCTCAGAGAGGTCCAAATATCCACCTGCAGATTCTACCAAAAGTGTATTTGGAAACTGCTCCATCAAAAGGCATGTTCAGCTCTGTGAGTGAAACTCCATCATCACAAAGAATATTCTGAGAATGCTTCCGTTTGCCTTTTATATGAAGTTCCTTCCTATACGACCGTAGGCCTCAAAGCAGTCCAAATCTCCATTTGCAGATTCTACAAAAAGAGTGATTCCAATCTGCTCTATCAATAGGATTGTTCAACTCCATGAGTTGAATGCCATCCTCACAAAGTCGTTTCTGAGAATGCTTCTATCTAGTTTTTATGTGAAGATATTTCCTTTTCCACCACAGGCCTCAAAGCCCTCCAAACGTCCACTTGCAGATTCTCGAAAAAGAGTGTTTCATAGCTGCTCTTTCAAAAGGAAAGTTCAACTCTGGGAGTTGAATACAAACATCACAAAGTAGTTTCCGAGAATGCTTCTGTTTAGTTTTTATGTGAAGATGATCCCGTTTCCAGTGAAATCTTCAAAGAGGTCCACATATCCCCTTGCAGATTCCAAAGAAAGAGGGTTTCAAAACTGCTCCATCAGAAGGATTGTTCAACTCTGTGAGTTGAATGCAGTCATCGCAGAAAACTTTCTGAGAATGCTTCTGTCTAGGTTTGATGTGAAGATATAGACGTTTCAAACGAAGGCTACAAAGTGGTCAAAATATACATTTGCAGATTCTACTACAAGGGTGTTGCAAACCTGAACTATCAAAGGAAGGTTCAACTCTGTGAGTTGAATACAAACATCACAAAGAATGTTCTGAGTTTGCTTCCGTTCAGTTATGGGAAGTTGATCCCGTTTCCAACGAAATCCTCAGAGAGGTCCAAATATCCCCTTGCAGATTCTACAAAACGTGTGTTTGGAAACTGCTCCATCATAACGAATGTTCAGCTCCCTGAGTTAAACTCCATCGTCACAAAGAATTTTCTGAGAGTGCTACCGTCTGGTTTTTATATGAAGCTCTTTCCTTCACTACCACAGGCCTCAAAGCGGTCCAAATCTCCACTTGCAGATTCTACAAAAAGAGTGTTTGCAAACTGCTCTATCAAAAGGAATGTTCAACTCTGGGAGTTGAATGCAATCATCACAGAGCAGTTTCTGAGAATGCTTCTATGTCGTTTTTAGGAGAAGATATTTCCTTTTCCAACACAGTCCTCCAAGCCCGCTAAATAGCCACTTGCACATTGTAGAAAAAGTGTGTCAAAGCTGCGCTATCAAAGGGAAAGTTCAACTGTGTGAGGTGAATGCAAACATCCCAAAGAAGTTTCTGAGAATGCTTCCGTTTAGCTTTTAGGTGAAGATTATCCCGTTTCCAACGAAACCTTCAAAGAGGTCCAAATATCCCCTTGCGGATCCCACAGAAAGAGTGTTTCGAAACTGCTGTTTCAAAAGGAATCTTCAACTCTGTGAGTTGAATGCAATCATCCCAAAGAAGTTTCTGACAATGCTTCTCTCTCGTCTTTCTGTGAAGATAAAGGAAAAGGCTTTCAGGCCTTTTCCACCACAGGCCTGAAAGCGCTCCAAAAGTCCATTTGCAGATTCTGCCAAAAGAATATTTCAAAACTGCTCTATGAAAAGCAATGTTAAACTCTGTGGCTCGAACACAAACATCACAAAGCAGTTTCTGAGAATGCTTCAGTTTAGTTTTTCTGTGGAAATATTCCCGTTTCCAAAGAAATCTTCAAAGAGGTCCACGTATCCACTTACAGATTCTACAAAAAGACAGTTTCAAAACTGCTCCATCAAAAGGAGGGTTCAACTGTGTGACTTGAATGCAATCATCACTCAGAAGTTTCTGAGAATGCTTCTCTTTAGTTTTTACGTGAACATATACCCGTTTCGAACGAAGGCCACCCAGTGGTCCAAATATCCACTTGCAGATTCTACAGAAAGAGTGTTTCGAACCTGAACTCCCAAAGGCAGGTTCATCTCTGCGAGTTAAATGCATTCATCATGAAGAACTTTCTCAGAGTGTTTGTGTTTAGTTATGGGAAATTATTCCCGTTTCCAAAGAAATCCTCAGAGAGCTCCAAATATCCACCTGCAGATTCTACCAAAAGTGTATTTGGAAACTGCTCCATCAAAAGGCATGTTCAGCTCTGTGAGTGAAACTCCATCATCACAAAGAATATTCTGAGAATGCTTCCGTTTGCCTTTTATATGAAGTTCCTTCCTATACGACCGTAGGCCTCAAAGCAGTCCAAATCTCCATTTGCAGATTCTACAAAAAGAGTGATTCCAATCTGCTCTATCAATAGTATTGTTCAACTCCATGAGGTGAATGCCATCCTCACAAAGTCGTTTCTGAGAATGCTTCTATCTAGTTTTTATGTGAAGATATTTCCTTTTCCACCACAGGCCTCAAAGCCCTCCAAACGTCCACTTGCAGATTCTCGAAAAAGAGTGTTTCATAGCTGCTCTTTCAAAAGGAAAGTTCAACTCTGGGAGTTGAATACAAACATCACAAAGTAGTTTCCGAGAATGCTTCTGTTTAGTTTTTATGTGAAGATGATCCCGTTTCCAGTGAAATCTTCAAAGAGGTCCACATATCCCCTTGCAGATTCCAAAGAAAGAGGGTTTCAAAACTGCTCCATCAGAAGGATTGTTCAACTCTGTGAGTTGAATGCAGTCATCGCAGAAAACTTTCTGAGAATGCTTCTGTCTAGGTTTGATGTGAAGATATAGACGTTTCAAACGAAGGCTACAAAGTGGTCAAAATATACACTTGCAGATTCTACTACAAGGGTGTTGCAAACCTGAACTATCAAAGGAAGGTTCAACTCTGTGAGTTGAATACAAACATCACAAAGAATGTTCTGAGTTTGCTTCCGTTCAGTTATGGGAAGTTGATCCCGTTTCCAACGAAATCCTCAGAGAGGTCCAAATATCCCCTTGCAGATTCTACAAAACGTGTGTTTGGAAACTGCTCCATCATAACGAATGTTCAGCTCCCTGAGTTAAACTCCATCGTCACAAAGAATTTTCTCAGAGTGCTACCGTCTGGTTTTTATATGAAGTTCTTTCCTTCACTACCACAGACCTCAAAGCGGTCCAAATCTCCACTTGCAGATTCTACAAAAAGAGTGATTCCAATCTGCTCTATCAATAGGATTGTTCAACTCCATGAGTTGAATGCCATCCTCACAAAGTAGTTTCTGAGAATGCTTCTATCTGGTTTTTGTGTGAAGATATTTCCTTTTCCACCACAGGCCTCAAAGCCCTCCAAACGTCCACTTGCAGATTCTCGAAAAAGAGTGTTTCATAGCTGCTCTTTCAAAAGGAAAGTTCAACTCTGGGAGTTGAATACAAACATCACAAAATAGTTTCCGAGAATGCTTCTGTTTAGTTTTTATGTGAAGATGATCCCGTTTCCAGTGAAATCTTCAAAGAGGTCCACATATCCCCTTGCAGATTCCAAAGAAAGAGGGTTTCAAAACTGCTCCATCAGAAGGATTTTTCAACTCTGTGAGTTGAATGCAGTCATCGCAGAAAACTTTCTGAGAATGCTTCTGTCTAGGTTTGATGTGAAGATATAGACGTTTCAAACGAAGGCTACAAAGTGGTCAAAATATACACTTGCAGATTCTACTACAAGGGTGTTGCAAACCTGAACTATCAAAGGAAGGTTCAACTCTGTGAGTTGAATACAAACGTCACAAAGAATGTTCTGAGTTTGCTTCCGTTCAGTTATGGGAAGTTGATCCCTTTTCCAACGAAATCCTCAGAGAGGTCCAAATATCCCCTTGCAGATTCTACAAAACGTGTGTTTGGAAACTGCTCCATCATAACGAATGTTCAGCTCTCTGAATTAAACTCCATCGTCACAAAGGATTTTCTGAGAGTGCTACCGTCTGGTTTTTATATGAAGTTCTTTCCTTCACTACCACAGGCCTCAAAGCGGTCCAAATCTCCACTTGCAGATTGTACAAAAAGAGTGTTTGCAAACTGCTCTATCAAAAGGAATGTTCAACTCTGGGAGTTGAATGCAATCATCACAGAGCAGTTTCTGAGAATGCTTCTATGTCGTTTTTAGGAGAAGATATTTCCTTTTCCAACACAGTCCTCCAAGCCCGCTAAATAGCCACTTGCACATTGTAGAAAAAGTGTGTCAAAGCTGCGCTATCAAAGGGAAAGTTCAACTCTGTGAGGTGAATGCAAACATCCCAAAGAAGTTTCTGAGAATGCTTCCGTTTAGCTTTTAGGTGAAGATTATCCCGTTTCCAACGAAACCTTCAAAGAGGTCCAAATATCCCCTTGCGGATCCCACAGAAAGAGTGTTTCGAAACTGCTGTTTCAAAAGGAATCTTCAACTCTGTGAGTTGAATGCAATCATCACAAAGAAGTTTCTGACAATGCTTCTCTCTCGTCTTTCTGTGAAGATAAAGGAAAAGGCTTTCAGGCCTTTGCCACCACAGGCCTGAAAGCGCTCCAAATGTCCACTTGCAGATTCTGCCAAAAGAATATTTCAAAACTGCTCTATGAAAAGCAATGTTAAACTCTGTGGCTGGAACACAAACATCACAAAGCGGTTTCTGAGAATGTTTCAGTTTAGTTTTTCTGTGGAAATATTCCCGTTTCCAAAGAAATCTTCAAAGAGGTCCACGTATCCACTTACAGATTCTACAAAAAGACAGTTTCAAAACTGCTCCATCAAAAGGAGGGTTCAACTGTGTGACTTGAATGCAATCATCACTCAGAAGTTTCTGAGAATGCTTCTCTTTAGTTTTTACGTGAACATATACCCGTTTCGAACGAAGGCCACCCAGTGGTCCAAATATCCACTTGCAGATTCTACAGAAAGAGTGTTTCGAACCTGAACTCTCAAAGGCAGGTTCATCTCTGCGAGTTAAATGCATTCATCATGAAGAACTTTCTCAGAGTGTTTGTGTTTAGTTATGGGAAATTATTCCCGTTTCCAACGAAATCCTCAGAGAGCTCCAAATATCCACCTGCAGATTCTACCAAAAGTGTATTTGGAAACTGCTCCATCAAAAGGCATATTCAGCTCTGTGAGTGAAACTCCATCATCACAAAGAATATTCTGAGAATGCTTCCGTTTGCCTTTTATATGAAGTTCCTTCCTATACGACCGTAGGCCTCAAAGCAGTCCAAATCTCCATTTGCAGATTCTACAAAAAGAGTGATTCCAATCTGCTCTATCAATAGGATTGTTCAACTCCATGAGTTGAATGCCATCCTCACAAAGTCGTTTCTGAGAATGCTTCTATCTAGTTTTTATGTGAAGATATTTCCTTTTCCACCACAGGCCTCAAAGCCCTCCAAACGTCCACTTGCAGATTCTCGAAAAAGAGTGTTTCATAGCTGCTCTTTCAAAAGGAAAGTTCAACTCTGGGAGTTGAATACAAACATCACAAAGTAGTTTCCGAGAATGCTTCTGTTTAGTTTTTATGTGAAGATGATCCCGTTTCCAGTGAAATCTTCAAAGAGGTCCACATATCCCCTTGCAGATTCCAAAGAAAGAGGGTTTCAAAACTGCTCCATCAGAAGGATTGTTCAACTCTGTGAGTTGAATGCAGTCATCGCAGAAAACTTTCTGAGAATGCTTCTGTTTAGGTTTGATGTGAAGATATAGACGTTTCAAACGAAGGCTACAAAGTGGTCAAAATATACACTTGCAGATTCTACTACAAGGGTGATGCAAACCTCAACTATCAAAGGAAGGTTCAACTCTGTGAGTTGAATACAAACATCACAAAGAATGTTCTGAGTTTGCTTCCGTTCAGTTATGGGAAGTTGATCCCGTTTCCAACGAAATCCTCAGAGAGGTCCAAATATCCCCTTGCAGATTCTACAAAACGTGTGTTTGGAAACTGCTCCATCATAACGGATGTTCAGCTCTCTGAGTTAAACTCCATCGTCACAAAGAATTTTCTGAGAGTGCTACCGTCTGGTTTTTATATGAAGTTGTTTCCTTTACTACCACAGGCCTCAAAGCGGTCCAAATCTCCACTTGCAGATTCTACAAAAAGAGTGTTTGCAAACTGCTCTATCAAAAGGAATGTTCAACTCTGGGAGTTGAATGGAATCATCACAGAGCAGTTTCTGAGAATGCTTCTATGTCGTTTTTAGGAGAAGATATTTCCTTTTCCAACACAGTCCTCCAAGCCCGCTAAATATCCACTTGCACATTGTAGAAAAAGTGTGTCGAAGCTGCGCTATCAAAGGGAAAATTCAACTCTGTGAGGTGAATGCAAACATCCAAAAGAAGTTTCTGAGAATGCTTCCGTTTAGCTTTTAGGTGACGATTATCCAGTTTCCAACGAAACCTTCAAATAGATCCAAATATCCCCTTGCGGTTCCCACAGAAAGAGTGTTTCGAAACTGCTGTTTCAAAAGGAATCTTCAACTCTGTGAGTTGAATGCAATCATCACAAAGAAGTTTCTGACAATGCTTCTCTCTCGTCTTTCTGTGAAGATAAAGGAAAAGGCTTTCAGGCCTTTTCCACCACAGGCCTGAAAGCGCTCCAAATGTCCACTTGCAGATTCTGCCAAAAGAATATTTCAAAACTGCTCTATGAAAAGCAATGTTAAACTCTGCGGCTCGAACACAAACATCACAAAGCAGTTTCTGAGAATGCTTCAGTTTAGTTTTTCTGTGGAAATATTCCCGTTTCCAAAGAAATCTTCAAAGAGGTCCACGCATCCACTTACAGATTCTACAAAAACACAGTTTCAAAACTGCTCAATCAAAACGAGGGTTCAACTGTGTGACTTGAATGCAATCATCACTCAGAAGTTTCTGAGAATGCTTCTCTTTAGTTTTTACGTGAACATATACCCGTTTCGAACGAAGGCCACACAGTGGTCCAAATATCCACTTGCAGATTCTACAGAAAGAGTGTTTCGAACCTGAACTCTCAAAGGCAGGTTCATCTCTGCGAGTTAAATGCATTCATCATGAAGAACTTTCTCAGCGTGTTTGTGTTTAGTTATGGGAAATTATTCCCGTTTCCAACGAAATCCTCAGAGAGGTTCAAATATCCACCTGCAGATTCTACCAAAAGTGTATTTGGAAACTGCTCCATCAAAAGGCATGTTCAGCTCTGTGTGTGAAACTCCATCATCACAAAGAATATTCTGAGAATGCCTCCGTTTGCCTTTTATATGAAGTTCCTTCCTATACTACCGTAGGCCTCAAAGCAGTCCAAATCTCCATTTGCAGATTCTACAAAAAGAGTGATTCCAATCTGCTCTATCAATAGGACTGTTCAACTCCATGAGTTGAATGCCATCCTCACAAAGTCGTTTCTGAGAATGCTTCTATCTAGTTTTTATGTGAAGATATTTCCTTTTCCACCACAGGCCTCAAAGCCCTCCAAACGTCCACTTGCAGATTCTCGAAAAAGAGTGTTTCATAGCTGCTCTTTCAAAAGGAAAGTTCAACTCTGGGAGTTGAATACAAACATCACAAAGTAGTTTCCGAGAATGCTTCTGTTTAGTTCTTATGTGAAGATGATCCCGTTTCCAGTGAAATCTTCAAAGAGGTCCACATATCCCCTTGCAGATTCCAAAGAAAGAGGGTTTCAAAACTGCTCCATCAAAAGGATTGTTCAACTCTGTGAGTTGAATGCAGTCATCGCAGAAAACTTTCTGAGAATGCTTCTGTCTAGGTTTGATGTGAAGATATAGACGTTTCAAACGAAGGCTACAAAGTGGTCAAAATATACACTTGCAGATTCTACTACAAGGGTGATGCAAACCTCAACTATCAAAGGAAGGTTCAACTCTGTGAGTTGAATACAAACATCACAAAGAATGTTCTGAGTTTGCTTCCGTTCAGTTATGGGAAGTTGATCCCGTTTCCAACGAAATCCTCAGAGAGGTCCAAATATCCCCTTGCAGATTCTACAAAACGTGTGTTTGGAAACTGCTCCATCATAACGGATGTTCAGCTCTCTGAGTTAAACTCCATCGTCACAAAGAATTTTCTGAGAGTGCTACCCTCTGGTTTTTATATGAAGTTGTTTCCTTTACTACCACAGGCCTCAAAGCGGTCCAAATCTCCACTTGCAGATTCTACAAAAAGAGTGTTTGCAAACTGCTCTATCAAAAGGAATGTTCAACTCTGGGAGTTGAAAGCAATCATCACAGAGCAGTTTCTGAGAATGCTTCTATGTCGTTTTTAGGAGAAGATATTTCCTTTTCCAACACAGTCCTCCAAGCCCGCTAAATATCCACTTGCACATTGTAGAAAAAGTGTGTCGAAGCTGCGCTATCAAAGGGAAAGTTCAACTCTGTGAGGTGAATGCAAACATCCCAAAGAAGTTTCTGAGAATACTTCCGTTTAGCTTTTAGGTGAAGATTATCCCGTTTCCAACGAAATCTTCAAAGAGGTCCAAATATCCCCTTGCGGATCCCACAGAAAGAGTGTTTCGAAACTGCTGTTTCAAAAGGAATCTTCAACTCTGTGAGTTGAATGCAATCATCACAAAGAAGTTTCTGACAATGCTTCTCTCTCGTCTTTCTGTGAAGATAAAGGAAAAGGCTTTCAGGCCTTTTCCACCACAGGCCTGAAAGCGCTCCAAATATCCGCTTGCAGATACTGCGAAAAGAATATTACAAAACTGCTCTATGAAAAGCAATGTTAAACTCTGTGGCTCGAACACAAACATCACAAAGCAGTTTCTGAGAATACTTCAGTTTAGTTTTTCTGTGGAAATATTCCCGTTTCCAAAGAAATCTTCAAAGAGGTCCACGTATCCACTTACAGATTCTACAAAAAGACAGTTTCAAAACTGCTCAATCAAAAGGAGGGTTCAACTGTGTGACTTGAAAGCAATCATCACTCAGAAGATTCTGAGAATGCTTCTCTTTAGTTTTTACGTGAACATATACCCGTTTCGAACGAAGGCCAGCCAGTGGTCCAAATATCCACTTGCAGATTCTACAGAAAGAGTGTTTCGAACCTGAACTCTCAAAGGCAGGTTCATCTCTGCGAGTTCAATGCATTCATCATGAAGAACTTTCTCAGAGTGTTTGTGTTTAGTTATGGGAAATTATTCCCGTTTCCAACGAAATCCTCAGAGAGGTCCAAATATCCACCTGCAGATTCTACCAAAAGTGTATTTGGAAACTGCTCCATCAAAAGGCATGTTCAGCTCTGTGAGTGAAACTCCATCATCACAAAGAATATTCTGAGAATGCTTCCGTTTGCCTTTTATATGAAGTTCCTTCCTATACTACCGTAGGCCTCAAAGCAGTCCAAATCTCCATTTGCAGATTCTACAAAAAGAGTGATTCCAATCTGCTCTATCAATAGGATTGTTCAACTCCATGAGTTGAATGCCATCCTCACAAAGTCGTTTCTGAGAATGCTTCTATCTAGTTTTTATGTGAAGATATTTCCTTTTCCACCACAGGCCTCAAAGCCCTCCAAACGTCCACTTGCAGATTCTCGAAAAAGAGTGTTTCATAGCTGCTCTTTCAAAAGGAAAGTTCAACTCTGGGAGTTGAATACAAACATCACAAAGTAGTTTCCGAGAATGCTTCTGTTTAGTTCTTATGTGAAGATGATCCCGTTTCCAGTGAAATCTTCAAAGAGGTCCACATATCCCCTTGCAGATTCCAAAGAAAGAGGGTTTCAAAACTGCTCCATCAAAAGGATTGTTCAACTCTGTGAGTTGAATGCAGTCATCGCAGAAAACTTTCTGAGAATGCTTCTGTCTAGGTTTGATGTGAAGATATAGACGTTTCAAACGAAGGCTACAAAGTGGTCAAAATATACACTTGCAGATTCTACTACAAGGGTGTTGCAAACCTGAGCTATCAAAGGAAGGTTCAACTCTGTGAGTTGAATACAAACATCACAAAGAATGTTCTGAGTTTGCTTCCGTTCAGTTATGGGAAGTTGATCCCGTTTCCAACGAAATCCTCAGAGAGGTCCAAATATCCCCTTGCAGATTCTACAAAACGTGTGTTTGGAAACTGCTCCATCATAACGAATGTTCAGCTCTCTGAGTTAAACTCCATCGTCACAAAAAATTTTCTGAGAGTGCTACCGTCTAGTTTTTATATGAAGTTCTTTCCTTTACTACCACAGGCCTCAAAGCGGTCCAAATCTCCACTTGCAGATTCTACAAAAAGAGTGTTTGCAAACTGCTCTATCAAAAGGAATGTTCAACTCTGGGAGTTGAATGCAATCATCACAGAGCAGTTTCTGAGAATGCTTCTATGTGGTTTTTAGGAGAAGATATTTCCTTTTCCAACACAGTCCTGCAAGCCCGCTAAATATCCACTTGCACATTTTAGAAAAAGTGTGTCGAAGCTGCGCTATCAAAGGGAAAGTTCAACTCTGTGAGGTGAATGCGAACATCCCAAAGAAGTTTCTGAGAATGCTTCCGTTTAGCTTTTAGGTGAAGATTATCCCGTTTCCAACGAAATCTTCAAAGAGGTCCAAATATCCCCTTGCGGATCCCACAGAAAGAGTGTTTCGAAACTGCTGTTTCAAAAGGAATCTTCAACTCTGTGAGTTGAATGCAATCATCACAAAGAAGTTTCTGACAATGCTTCTCTCTCGTCTTTCTGTGAAGATAAAGGAAAAGGCTTTCAGGCCTTTTCCACCACAGGCCTGAAAGCGCTCCAAATGTCCACTTGCAGATTCTGCCAAAAGAATATTTCAAAACTGCTCTATGAAAAGCAATGTTAAACTCTGTGGCTCGAACACAAACATCACAAAGCAGTTTCTGAGAATGCTTCAGTTTAGTTTTTCTGTGGAAATATTCCCGTTTCCAAAGAAATCTTCAAAGAGGTCCACGCATCCACTTACAGATTCTACAAAAAGACAGTTTCAAAACTGCTCAATCAAAAGGAGAGTTCAACTGTGTGACTTGAATGCAATCATCACTCAGAAGTTTATGAGAACGCTTCTCTTTAGTTTTTACGTGAACATATACCCGTTTCGAATGAAGGCCACCCAGTGGTCCAAATATCCACTTGCAGATTCTACAGAAAGAGTGTTTCGAACCTGAACTCTCAAAGGCAGGTTCATCTCTGCGAGTTAAATGCATTCATCATGAAGAACTTTCTCAGCGTGTTTGTGTTTAGTTATGGGAAATTATTCCCGTTTCCAACGAAATCCTCAGAGAGCTCCAAATATCCACCTGCAGATTCTACCAAAAGTGTATTTGGAAACTGCTCCCATCTCAAAAGGCATGTTCAGCTCTGTGAGTGAAACTCCATCATCACAAAGAATATTCTGAGAATGCTTCCGTTTGCCTTTTATATGAACTTCCTTCCTGTACTACCGTAGGCCTCAAAGCAGTCCAAATCTCCATTTGCAGATTCTACAAAAAGAGTGATTCCAATCTTCTCTATCAATAGGATTGTTCAACTCCATGAGTTGAATGCCATCCTCACAAAGTAGTTTCTGAGAATGCTTCTATCTGGTTTTTGTGTGAAGATATTTCCTTTTCCACCACAGGCCTCAAAGCCCTCCAAACGTCCACTTGCAGATTCTCGAAAAAGAGTGTTTCATAGCTGCTCTTTCAAAAGGAAAGTTCAACTCTGGGAGTTGAATACAAACATCACAAAGTAGTTTCCGAGAATGCTTCTGTTTAGTTTTTATGTGAAGATGATCCCGTTTCCAGTGAAATCTTCAAAGAGGTCCACATATCCCCTTGCAGATTCCAAAGAAAGAGGGTTTCAAAACTGCTCCATCAGAAGGATTGTTCAACTCTGTGAGTTGAATGCAGTCATCGCAGAAAACTTTCTGAGAATGCTTCTGTCTAGGTTTGATGTGAAGATATAGACGTTTCAAACGAAGGCTACAAAGTGGTCAAAATATACACTTGCAGATTCTACTACAAGGGTGTTGCAAACCTGAACTATCAAAGGAAGGTTCAACTCTGTGAGTTGAATACAAACATCACAAAGAATGTTCTGAGTTTGCTTCCGTTCAGTTATGGGAAGTTGATCCCGTTTCCAACGAAATCCTCAGAGAGGTCCAAATATCCCCTTGCAGATTCTACAAAACGTGTGTTTGGAAACTGCTCCATCATAACGAATGTTCAGCTCCCTGAGTTAAACTCCATCGTCACAAAGAATTTTCTGAGAGTGCTACCGTCTGGTTTTTATATGAAGTTCTTTCCTTCACTACCACAGGCCTCAAAGCGGTCCAAATCTCCACTTGCAGATTCTACAAAAAGAGTGTTTGCAAACTGCTCTATCAAAAGGAATGTTCAACTCTGGGAGTTGAATGCAATCATCACAGAGCAGTTTCTGAGAATGCTTCTATGTCGTTTTTAGGAGAAGATATTTCCTTTTCCAACACAGTGCTCCAAGCCCGCTAAATATCCACTTGCACATTGTAGAAAAAGTGTGTCGAAGCTGCGCTATCAAAGGGAAAGTTCAACTCTGTGAGGTGAATGCAAACATCCCAAAGAAGTTTACTGAGAATGCTTCCGCTTAGCTTTTAGGTGACGATTATCCATTTTCCAACGAAACCTTCAAATAGATCCAAATATCCCCTTGCGGATCCCACAGAAAGAGTGTTTCGAAACTGCTGTTTCAAAAGGAATCTTCAACTCTGTGAGTTGAATGCAATCATCACAAAGAAGTTTCTGACAATGCTTCTCTCTCGTCTTTCTGTGAAGATAAAGGAAAAGGCTTTCAGGCCTTTTCCACCACAGGCCTGAAAGCGCTCCAAATGTCCACTTGCAGATTCTGCCAAAAGAATATTTCAAAACTGCTCTATGAAAAGCAATGTTAAACTCTGCGGCTCGAACACAAACATCACAAAGCAGTTTCTGAGAATGCTTCAGTTTAGTTTTTCTGTGGAAATATTCCCGTTTCCAAAGAAATCTTCAAAGAGGTCCACGCATCCACTTACAGATTCTACAAAAAGACAGTTTCAAAACTGCTCAATCAAAAGGAGGGTTCAACTGTGTGACTTGAATGCAATCATCACTCAGAAGTTTCTGAGAACGCTTCTCTTTAGTTTTTACGTGAACATATACCCGTTTCGAACGAAAGCCAGCCAGTGGTCCAAATATCCACTTGCAGATTCTACAGAAAGAGTGTTTCAAACCTGAACTCTCAAAGGCAGGTTCATCTCTGCGAGTTAAATGCATTCATCATGAAGAACTTTCTCAGCGTGTTTGTGTTTAGTTATGGGAAATTATTCCCGTTTCCAACGAAATCCTCAGAGAGCTCCAAATATCCACCTGCAGATTCTACCAAAAGTGTATTTGGAAACTGCTCCATCAAAAGGCATGTTCAGCTCTGTGAGTGAAACTCCATCATCACAAAGAATATTCTGAGAATGCTTCCGTTTGCCTTTTATATGAACTTCCTTCCTATACGACCGTAGGCCTCAAAGCAGTCCAAATCTCCATTTGCAGATTCTACAAAAAGAGTGATTCCAATCTGCTCTATCAATAGGATTGTTCAACTCCATGTGTTGAATGCCATCCTCACAAAGTCGTTTCTGAGAATGCTTCTATCTAGTTTTTATGTGAAGATATTTCCTTTTCCACCACAGGCCTCAAAGCCCTCCAAACGTCCACTTGCAGATTCTCGAAAAAGAGTGTTTCATAGCTGCTCTTTCAAAAGGAAAGTTCAACTCTGGGAGTTGAATACAAACATCACAAAGTAGTTTCCGAGAATGCTTCTGTTTAGTTTTTATGTGAAGATGATCCCGTTTCCAGTGAAATCTTCAAAGAGGTCCACATATCCCCTTGCAGATTCCAAAGAAAGAGGGTTTAAAAACTGCTCCATCAGAAGGATTGTTCAACTCTGTGAGTTGAATGCAGTCATCGCAGAAAACTTTCTGAGAATGCTTCTGTCTAGGTTTGATGTGAAGATATAGACGTTTCAAACGAAGGCTACAAAGTGGTCAAAATATACACTTGCAGATTCTACTACAAGGGTGTTGCAAACCTGAACTATCAAAGGAAGGTTCAACTCTGTGAATTGAATACAAACATCACAAAGAATGTTCTGAGTTTGCTTCCGTTCAGTTATG